>NC_000013.11:79325149-79477990 GCF_000001405.40 Homo sapiens | reverse complement strand
AGCATCTGCATCCCGGAGAACCCAACTAAGACAAGTACCAATATGTACAGTGATAGAGCAGTATTATCAAAATTGTGTTAGATAATTACAACTATCATTTTACATGGTTGGTGTTTCATCTTCAGAATAACCCTCAGGACTCTACATTGTTAGCATTTTCTCATGTGGATGTAATGTATCTGTAAGCCTTCCTACTAAGAATGATTTTGATGTTGTTCTATAGTGTGATGCTATATAGAGTTCATGGGGACCTCTTTGCCTGAGGCGTACTTCCCGTTGGGAACCCCTCCCACCTTCCCAGAAGCAGGGCCATTCCCTCTAGAGGTAAACTAGCAACTTAACATTCATCATCCTCTTTCTTATATCGTCAGATATATTGAGCTGCACACCCAAATGCCAGGATTCTTCGTTGGGAGTCCCACCAGTTAAAGAGCAGTAAGACATGCCATTGCCTACAGAAAGCCGTCTACACAGGCCTAAATCACAGGGAGGCGATGTTCCAAATTTTCCTTACCACTTCACTGATTTTTAGTTTTTTATCACTTCCTCTACCACAAAGAACTACTCAAAGTGGCTATTGATGGTTAGTGTGATCACAGATCTTAGTAATGAATTGCATTTGGAATATGTGTGGTTTTTGTATAATTACCTGTAGAATGACTGGAAAGAGGTAAAATTACATTATCTGAAAATTTCTATTTCTACCTAATGAAAATTCACTAGCAATCATTTTCTGGACATTAAATTCTAAAGCATATTTTAGAAATATAAGAAACTATTGCTTTTCACATATAAATGAAAATTAACACAATAATGACTCCAGTTTTATCTCTGAATCTTTTATAATGTATATATATCTTTTAATCAGTTTGTAGGCTTGAACCTCAGTTTAGCTACACATAGTGTTTCTTATTTAACTGGTTCTGAGATTCCGTCATCTGTTCAGCTCTATAATTTTAGAGAGGATATCTAAGTGAGCAATTTTACAAACAAGTATCTACTTCTTTTTCCTCTCTTTATTCTCCTCCAGTATGTTGAAAGAATCTGAAATAAAACTTTTTATCAGTCAAGATTCAACTAGAGAAACAGAGTCAGCAGAAGACATATCCTAAGAGATTTATTGCAAGGAATTGGCTTACACAGTTCTGTGGGCTGGTCCAGCAAGTCCGGAATCCAGAGGACAGACCCCTGTAACTCTAGGGTTGGAGCTGAAGCTGCTGTCTACAGGCAGAATTTCTTCTTCCTCAGGGAATCCTCAGTTCTGCTCTTAAGTACATTTAACTGACTCAATCAGACCCACCCAGATTATTGAGGATAATCTTCTTTACTTAAAGTCAACTGATTCAAGACTTTAATTACATCTATTAAATCACCACAATGCCTATGTGAGTGTTTGAATAATTAGGGCTGTAATCTAACCAAGTTAATAGAGAGAACTGACATTCCCTGTTTATTTAAATACAACAAACTAATATAGTATCTATATAGTAAAGATAAAAGATAGAGGAAGGAACAGGAGAAAGGAATGAAGTACCAGAGAGTTACCTTAGAAATTTAAATGAATTTCCTAAATTTAAGTTTTCCTATCAGCCTTATATAATACATATATATGATGGCATCACCAGTAAACACTTGGAAAAGATCTGAATTCTGATAAGCTGCATCTCAGTCCTAACAATATTTTTATTTAGCATTTTCATTTTTCCTTTGTTTGGTAATAGGCAACAAATGTGAGCAAATCAGTAGCCATTTTGCTTTGGGGAATTCATATTTGAACTTAGAATAACTCATAAGTTATTAAAATAATCTTTGCTTTACCTTAGGTATGGAAGGCTGTTCTCTGACCATGCTAAAGCAGGACTTTCTATGTTGTCATCTCCTTTTTACTCTGTAAGCCATAGAAGAGCAGCACTGTCACTGAGGATAGGGCTGTTATGACAGGTGTCCCTTAACTGGCTAATGTGATTATTGTATAAGAAGACAAACACTGTGTGTGTGTGTGTGTGTGTGTGTGGTGTGTGTGTGTCTGTATGTGTAAAATATTAGGAAAGAGAAATGTCTCCTACACATCCAGATCTTCTTAACATGTTAATGTGCATTTGCTCTTTTTCTTTCATAACAGAAACCAGGCCTCATTTGTTTAACACAGTCTAATGTCAGTACACTGCTTCACCATTAGCAACATATTCTGATACAACAATAAGGTCACTATATAAGAAAGTTGCCTGATTTCCGCCCTCAGGATAAAGGTCACTCAATATCTGAAGGATAAAATGACAGTGATAATCAGATGGAATAACTTACCAGATGCTGCCTTTCTAGAACTAAGAAGAAAATTATACTCATTTCCTGGCTTTAACATTCAAATAGGTGAAAAAACTAGTGGCCTGACAATGCCAAAGTAAGCCAAGATAATGTCTGGAAAAAAAAAAAAAGGAAGTTCCTTTTGTATCTGGCTGGTATATCCTAGAAAAAATAAAATATTTATATTGCATTTCACTTCACCTAAATTATATGTGAAATTCTCATAAAATATCTATAAATTCTGTTTATGAAGATGATTGTTGAGAAATCTGGCATGATTTCCCCAGTAAAGGTGAAGACACCAAGTGGAATTCCAGATACTGACTTTTAAAAACAAAAGCATACATTTAAGTCTTTAATCCATCTTGAGTTAATTTTTGTATAAGGTGTAAGGAAGGGATCCAGTTTCAGCTTTCTACATATGGCTGGCCAGTTTTCCCAGCACCATTTATTAAATAGGGAATCCTTTCCCCATTGCTTGTTTTTGTCAGGTTTGTCAAAGATCAGATGATTGTAGATGTGTGGTGTTATTTCTGAGGCTTATGTTCTGTTCCATTGGTCTATATGTCTATTTTGGTAACAGTACCATGCTGTTTTGGTTACTGTAGCCTTGTAGTATAGTTTGAAGTCAGGTAGCATGATGCCTCCAGCTTTGTTCTTTCTGCTTAGGATTGTCTTGGCTATGCAGGCTCTTTTTTGGTTCCATATGAACTTTAAAGTAGTTTTTTTCCAATTCTATGAAGAAAGTCAGTGGTAGCTTGATGGAGATAGCATTGAATCTATAAATTACCTTTTCTTCCTATCCATGAGAATGGAATGTTCTTCCATTTGTTTGTGTCCTCTTTTATTTCGTTGAGCAGTGGTTTGTAGTTCTTATTGAAGAGGTCCTTAAATGTAAGACCTAACACCCTAAAAACCCTAGAAGAAAACCTAGGCAATTCCATTCAGGACATAGGCATGGGCAAAGACTTCATGACTAAAACACCAAAGGCAATGACAACAAAAGCCAAAACAGACAAATCGGATCTAATTAAACTAAAGAGCTTCTGCACAGCAAAATAAACTATCATCAGAGCGAACAGGCAACCTACAGAATGGGAGAAAATTTTTGAAATCTACACATCTGACAAAGGGCTAATATTCAGAATCCACAAAACTTAAACAAATTTACAAGAAAAAAACAAACAATCCCATCAAAAAGTGGGCAAAGGATATGAACAGACACTTCTCAAAAGAAGACATTTATGCAGCCAACAGACATATGAAAAAATGCTTATCATCACTGGTCATTAGAGAAGTACAAATCAAAACCACAATGAGATACGATCTCACACCAGTAAGAATGGCGATCATTAAAAAGTCAGGAAACAACAGTTGCTGGAGAGGATGTGGAGAAATAGGAACGCTTTTACACTGTTGGTGGGAGCATAAATTAGTTCAACCATTGTCAAAGATAGAGTGGCGATTCCTCAAGGATCTAGAACTAGAAATGCCATTTGACCCAGTGATCCCATTACTGGGTATATACCCAAAAGAGTATAAATCATGCTACTATAAAGACACATGCACACATATGTTTATTGTGGTACTATTTGCAATAGCAAAGACTTGGAACCAACCCACATGTCCATCAGTGATAGACTGGATTAAGAAAATGTGGCGCATATACACCATGGAATACTATGCAGCCATAAAAAAGATGAGTTCATGTCCTTTGCAGGGACATGGATGAAGCTGGAAACCATCATTCTAAGCAAACTATCACAAGGACAGAAAACCAAACACTACATGTTCTCACTCATAGGTGGGAGTTGAACAATGAGAACACATGGACACAGGGCAGGGAACATCACACACCGAGGCCTGTCAGGGGGTGGGGGACTGGGGGAGGGATAGCATTAGGAGAAATACCTAATGTAGATGACGAGCTGATGGGTGCAGCAAACCACCATGGCACATGTATACCTATGTAACAAACCTGCACATTGCGCACATGTACCCTAGAACTTAAAATATAATAAAAAAAAGCATAAATGTTACAAAACCACATGCACGCACACACACACACACACACACACGCAAATACTGCACAGGTAGTAGAAAATCAAAATTAATTTTTTTGTCTAAATGGGACAGATGATGTGGCTCCCTGTAGTCCCTGTAAGTTCTTTAGAACTCAGTTGTCTAGAAAAGAAAGAAAATGCATGTTTTCTTAGAACCATAAAACTTTAGCCTTTATTTATCCTATAACTTTGAGATCACCCACCCCAACAGCTTAATTTTAAAGATATGGAAACTGAGGCTTAGAGAGGTAAATGCAGCCTCAGAGTGATATCTAGGAAGCAACTCCATCTCACTTCCAGCTTGATTCAAATGTGGTAACTAATAAAACAATCCAAAATAGTCTATTGACCGTTCCTACCTCATCCAACTAGAAATAGCCTTCTAAAACAGCACTAATAAAAATCAGTATTATAAAACTCAAACACATTATGAACTCAACATGTCAAAAATGTTTTTGGAAGAAACATTGCAGGCATTGTATTGTCACCAAAAAGGATAAATTCTAATATAGTTGTGAATCCTCTCAGGGGTTGATGCTTTAAAACAAGTAAAACATCAACTTTTAAAAGTACAATAAAAGTGTCCTCCACAAATAATCATTGAAAATACAATAAGTACCTAACATTAGTTGTATGTATTCAAGCTTAAAAACCAAAGAATCCCAACTCCACACATACATTTCCATTTATATAAGGTTGGGATAAAAGAGAAACTAAACACGTAAAGTATGTGGGAGCCTACCTCGCTTAGTCCAGCCTCCAAATTTTGACCATGGGACTTTACCATGATTCCTGAAACAATACAACTACACTGTCCAATATAGTAGCCACTAGCCACATATGACCACTTAAATATAAATATTAAAATATTAAACATTCAGTTCTTCAGTCATACTGGCCACATTTCTAGTGCTCAGTTACCACATGTGTCTAGTGGTTACCATGTGGGACACAGCAAATATAGAACATTTGCATCATCACAGAAAGTTTATTGGATATCATTGCTCAAGCAAATATTCTCTTACTATTCACCTTGCATTATTCTCCTTCCAGCTGGGCTCACACCTGTAATCCCAGCACTTTAGGAGGCTGAGGCAAGAGGATCACTTGAGCTTAGGAGTTAGAGGTTGCGGTGAGCTATGATCACGCCACTGCACTCCAGCCTAGGTAACAGAGTAAGACCCAGAGATCAGCCTCAGCAACAAAGTGAAGCCTCTGTCTCTACAAAAAATAAATGAATAAAAAAATTAGCCAGGTTCAGTGGTGTGTACCTGTAGTCCCATCTGCTTGGGAGCTTGAGGCAGGAGGATCCCTTGATCCCAGGAGTTAGAGGTTGCAGTGAGCTATGATCACATCACTGCACCCCAGCCAAGTTAACAGAGCAAGACCTTGCCTCAAAAACAACAACAACAAAACATCTCCTTCCTTCACTTACTGAATTATCCAAATAATTTTGTAATAGCCATGGTCCCAACTCTGCTGTATATTAGCAAGGTGATCCTGGATAAGTCACTTAACCTGCTGAGCTGGTTTGCTCATCTTTAATGTCAGAATATTAATTCCATCCCTATCTGTCAGGTTGTTGTGAAGCTCAACATATATTTGTATATATGTTATATTTGTATATAACCATACAAGTATAAAGGCTTATAATTTTCCAGTGGCTCTCAAAGAAGAAAAAAAAAGAAAAAATTTAAAATATTTTGCACTTAAAATATGGAGTAAAAATTGTAATTCAGGGAGGGTGGAGACTATCTAATAGAACAGACAAGTCAATTAGGTCTCCCAGCTTGACTCCATATTTTTTCTACGCTATGTGTCTGGACTTCTACCTTACATAATAACTCGTCACAAAATTCGCAATAGATTCCAGTGTGTGTAACCATAGAAAATATGTCGCTAGTTGTTTATCCAGAAGTGAAACTATTACTATGTTTGTCGATCATAATATGGCAATAATAGCTAACATTTATTGAATACTGCTAGCATTTTGCTAAGTCTTCATATGTATCAAGTCACAACTTCATATGTGTCAACTCACAACAAACATATAGAATAAGTACTATTACCATTACATATATCAGGAAACTGAGTCTTAGAATCCTAAGAAATTTTAACAAAGGTCACAAACAACTGGAGAAGGGAGATTTGCTGGCTTTTTTTTTTTACTTTAACAACTTTTTATCACAATATACACCAATACAGGAAAGTACACGCCTTGTGTATACTTTTATGTACTTGTACCCCTTGATGATTTTCCACCAGCTGAATAAACCCATGCAACCAGCACCCACATTAAGAGATAAAATATTTCCAGAACCTCAAAAGACCCCCTGGCACACTTCTTGCCTCTACCTTTGTACAAAGTATAACCGTTATCCTGACTTTTAACACCATAAATTAGTTTCCACAGTTTTTTAACTTTATGTACATAGAAGCATACTATATGTATCCTTTTGAGTCTGATTCATTTTCATGTTTGCAAGATTTATTCATATTGTTGGGTGCAGTTGTAGTTTATTCATTTTTGTTGCTGTATAGTATTTCATTGTGTGAATACGCTATTTATTTACCTGTTTTACTAAATAAATATGACTGGTGAGCATTTGAGTTCTTTCTGTTTTGGGTCTTGCATTAGTTTCCTAGGGCTGCTGTTACATAGCACCACAAACCAAGTGGCTTAAGCAACAGAAATTTATTGTCTTATAGTTCTGGAGGCCAAAAGTTCAAGATCAAGGTGTCAGCAGGTTGATTCCTTTGAAGGGCTGTAAGGAAAAATATGTTCCATTCCTCTCCCATACTTCCTGGTGGTTTGCTGGCAATCTTTGATATTCCTTGGCTTGTAAAAGTATCACCCTGATCTCTGTCTTCATCTTGGTATGGCATTTTCTCTACGTACATTTCTATATCCAAATTTTCTCAATTTATAAGGTCAGCAGTATAGTGGATTAGGGACCCACGTTTTTCCTGTATGGCTTCATCTTAACTAATAAAATCTGCAACAACACCATTTCCAAACAAGATCACATTCTCAGCCCAGGACTTTAACATGTGAATTTGGAGGGTGGAGGGGACACAGTTCAACCCATAAGAGAGCTATTACGAACAATGCTGCTAAGAATACTCTTGTACATGTTGTGGTGAATATACGCACTGATTTCTGATGAGTATATTCCTACAAATGAAAATAGTGTGTGTATTCAGCTTTAGTAGATGCTGCCAAATGGTTTTCTAAAATGTTTATACCAATTTTTCCTCCCATCATCAATGTATGGGAATTCCAGGTGAGCCACAGCTTCACAAACATTTTATATTGTCTCTGTTTCTTATTTTAGGTGTTCTGATGAGACTATAGTTGTATCTGGTTATTTTAATTTGGATTTTCCAATGACTGTTAAATTCTTCTTTATATGCTTCTTGACCATCTGGAGGTCATCTTTGCTGACCTATTTATTTGTCTATTTTTGTACTGAGTCTCCTACTTTTTTTCTTGGATTTGCAGCAACTCATTATTTTTCGGGAAATGGGTCCCGTGTTAGATATAGAAATGCAGATAGAGATATTGACGTCCCTTTTCATTCTTCTTGGCTTCAGGAACCAGGCTCAGGCGAATGGTCAGATGTGGTAGATTTCCCTCACTTTCTGCTTCTTTCTCTACGCCTGTGTTGAAAATGCCCAAGGTAGAAGAGGAAAAATCATATTACAAAATAGGGAGAGGAGGAATAAATTGGTACAGAACTGTCCATCAACAGATGGGCTCTTTGAAGTTTTGTTTTGTTTTGTTGGTTCTTTATTTGACCTTTAGTTTCAGGGAGCGTGTTTGTCTATGTGAACATCCCGGGGACTATCTGTCTCTTTCTTTTGAAGTTTCCTTCAGAACACCTTAGCAATTTTGCCTGCTCATCTCTTTTCTTTATAGCTTTTTATCTGGGCTTACTTCCCCTGCCTTCCAGCTCTGGCTGCAGAGGATTGGATGTTTCCACTTTCAATACCTAACATAAGACCTGCATAGAATAAGGCCTCATTATTGATTTGGTGACTAAAATTGGTTGAAGTTTCCCTTCCATTGCTATAAAGAAATAACCATAAGATGCTGTATCATTTCTTAAGAATTTTTAATTTCAACAAGGAAATATTCCAGGAGGTTTTAAAAAAGTATCATACTTTGCAAATGAGGTTTAGAAAACTTCTAATAGTTCTCCATGAATTTTTCTCTGATTTTCTCTAAGTAGAGTTCTCTAAATTTTTCCCTGATTTTTCTCTAAACAAAAATAGGTCTGACCACTTAAATGGTACCTCATTAATGATCTCCTTTTATTTATTATTACAGATAGTCTCTTGTGATCCTCAACCATGTGTTGGTTCTATAATGAGCTAGAACTCTACTGAAGAGACTTTATGGGTGACTGTTTTACTCTGATAAAATATAAATAACATAACATTCATGATTTTAACCATGTCTACATGTACATTTTAGTGACATGAAGTACATTCACATTGTTATGCCACTGCCGCCACCACCACCACATCTCCAGAACTTTTTTATCACCCCAAACTGAAACTGTGTACCCATTAAACACTAGTTCCCCATTCCCATCTCCTTTCAACCTCTGGCAACCACATTTCTACTTTCAGTCTTTATGACTTTCACACTTCTAGGTACCTTATATAAGTGGAAGCAGGCAGTATCTGTCCTTTTGTGTCTGGCTTACTTCATTTAGCATAATGTCCTCGGGGTTCTTCCATGTTGTAGTATATGTCAAAATCGTATTGCTTTTTGTTTGTAGTATGTGTCAGAATTTCATTCCATGTTGCAGTAAGTGTAAGAATTATTTGGTTAAATAATATACATTTGCATTATATACCACCTTTCCTTTATCCATTCATCCACAAATTAACATTGGGTTGTTTCTACTGAGTTATTTTATTTAATCTTCATAACTACTGCCCTTGGCAGAACTAAATTTTAGAGTTGCTTCTGTTACTCATACAGCAGCTGGCCCTGGCCAAGTTGAATTTTCGCTTTGTATCTTAATTTCCTCATTGTAAAATGGAAGTGAAAATATCCACCTCACTGGACTGGAGTGAGGATTTAATAAAATAATGAGATACCTAGAATAAAGTCTGCAAATAGTAGGTATCCAACAACTGACAGCTAGAAACATGACTCCTGTTGAGTGGAGACAATTCAAGACAGTTCCATACATCTCAGGAGTCCAGACTAAGGTAAGCAATGTGTCTCTTGCTTTATCAAAAGTCATCTTAGGTTGTACATATGTGGCATGTCCTGAAGATATTTTTATCTTGTAAAGTACTAAAATCAGTGAAAGAAGACAGGAATCATTTGTGAAACATGAACTTTTTCTTCTGCCCACAATCTATTTGCTAACCTCAGAAAGGTCAAGTCAAAAAGTTCAATTTAAGGAGTACTAATGATTTGTCTGTGGAGAGAACTGTTTTACTTTGTTTATCTGAAAAACAAAATCATATCTTTAAGAAATATAGACTTAATAACTCATTATAAATAAAAACATCTTCAGATTCAACTAAAACTAATCTAAGTATCAGGGTAAGCATCTGAGGAAATAAAAGGCCAAACCTTTTCAGCTAGATTTTTTATGAACTTTTATAAAAAACTGGATTTAGATTGCCTCTAACTTAAAATATTACTATAACCATAAATAACTTTTAAATTATCTTCATAATTTTAATAACTAAAGTTTTATAATAAACACTTTTCTGATAAAAGAAATTTTGAACATACAAAAGGTAGACAACAGATTTATTTCAGGTCTTTTTTTCTAAGCATAGTTTTTTGAGGGGAGAGGGGAGATTAAACATAATGAATAATTCTCTATATTCAATTTTATGTCCTTTTTTCACTTAACTTTATAATATAATTACCTACATGGGATTTTTCCAAAGTGATGAGAAACTTCATGAACACATTTTTAACAAGTACTTAATCATTCTCTCTTAATCCTTCTCTAAGCAAATTATTTCAAGAGCAATAGTATAGCAAAGCAATTAAAAAAGGATTGAAACAAATTTCTGGGTTAAAATTCTGTCTTCCACCAGTTGCTAGCATAAACTTGGGGAAGTTACTATTTCTCTGTCTCAGTTTCTTCGTTGAAAAATGAGAATGTTAATGGCATACCTAGCTTTTAGGGTTGGTATAGGGGTTAATATGTTAAAACATATAAAATGCTTAGAATAGTGCCTCACATATGGTAAGCATTCTATAAATGTTGACTTATTATCATTAGCTATTTAAAATCCTTGGTTTGATATGTAAATAATGAAATCTTAAAAGAAGGTAGATTAAAATGAACTAACTACAGTTAAAATTTATATCATTATTGTTGTGGACTGAATTGTATCCCCTTAAAATTCATGTGTTGAAACCTTAACCCCTGAGTGACTGTATTTGAAGATAGGGCCTTTAAGCAAAGTAATTAAGTTTAAGTGAGGTCACAAGGATGGGGCGCTAATCTGATAAGATTGTTGTCTTTACAGGATAAGGAAGAGACACCATAGATCTCTCTTTCTGCATGCATGCACAGAAGAAAGTCCATATTAGGACACAGTGAAAAGATGGCCATCTACAAGCCAGGAAGAGAGGCCTTATCAGACACCAACGCTGACAGCACCTGGATCTTGTACTTCTAGCCTCCAGAACTGTAAGAAAATATATTTATGTTGCTTGAACCACCCAGTCTGTGGTGTTTTCTTATGGAAGCTCTTCAGACTAATACAGTTGTTTATAGACAACTTATTTATAATGCTTTTTCAGTATAAGTTTTAACATCAAGAAAATATTTGATGTCAAGTAGTATAACTACTAATTCCTGATTTTTTCATCTACGGACTTTTTTATTTTATTTTTCACTTGTCCAAAGGATGTATATCTTAACTGAAAAACATAATTTGTCAAGGCCAGGTGTGGTGGCTCACACCTGTAATCCCAGCATTTTGGGAGGCCGAGGTGGGTGGATTACCTGAGGTTGGGAGTTTGAGACCAGCCTGACCAACATGGAGAAACCCCGTCTACTAAAAATACAAAATTGGCTGGGCGTGATGGTGCATGCCTGTAAATCCCAGCTACTCAGGAGACTGAGGCAGGAGAATCGCTTGAACATGGAAGGTGGAGGTTGTAGTGAGCCGAGATAGTGCCATTGCACTACAGCCTGGGCAAGAAGAGCAAAATTCCGTCTCAAAAAAACAAAAACAAACGAACAAACAAACAAAACATAATTTGTCAAATCTTCTAAAGAAAAGTGCTTAAACATATAAATGATAATCAGTAAATTTAAATGTTTATTTCCCAGTTGCATTAGCCACTCAACAGTTGTACTAGCCACTTTGTTGCACTGGTCAGTTCAATAGCCATATGTGATTAGTGGCTAGCATATTAGACAGAGCAGATACAGTACATTTTCATCATTGCAGGAACTTCTATTGTACTGAGCTGTACTATGTCTGTAGCCAGAGAGTGGCATGCTTGGATTATGCATCATTTCAAGAGTAGTGTGTTTTTGTCACAATTTTATGCAACTCATTATGCAATATTTAGACATTAAAAATTGTTTATAGCTAGGCAAGGTGGTGCACACCAGCAGTCCCAGCTACTTGGGAGGCAGAGGCAGGAGGATTGTTTAAGCCCAGAGTTCAAGTCTATCCTGGGGATGGAAGGAAGGAAGGAAGAAAGGGAGAGACAGAGGGAGGGAAGAGGAAAAACTTGTTTCTAGTATGAACCAAGCTTAATATCATTTGAGAATAATCAATCATCTATGGTAAGAATAAAATACAAGTAAAGCAATATGTGAGTACAATATACAGGTCTTATTTTACATTTTTCTTTTCTGCATTAAGTGAAAAACAACTCTCAATATACTTACCAATGTAATCTTTTCAAATACTTAATAATTAAACAGATTTAATACAGCTTTTTTTAAAAAAAAAAGTCTTTAAAATTAAAAATTATAATTTGCCCCAGCTACTCAAGAGGCTGAGGCAGGAAAATCACTTGAACCCAGGAGGCCGAGCTTGCAGTGAGCCAAGATCACGCCACTGCACTCCAACCTGGTCGACAGAGTGAGACTCTGTCTCAAAAAAAAAAAATTATAATTTGCTCAGAAGTAGAGAGACCAGTATAATAAACCTTCATGAATCTATCACTCAGTTTCAATGATTATCAATTGATTACCAATCTTGTTTCATCTATAACCTCCCTCTTCTCACCACCTGCCCTCCACTGGATTGTTTTGAAGCAAATCTAAGACATGATATCATTTAGTCTGTAAATATTTTAGTATGTGTTATGGTCTAAACAGTTGTGCCTCCCCAAAATTCATATGTTGATATCCTAATGCCCAGTGTGATGATATTAGGAAATGAGACCTTTGGGAGGTGATTAGGTCTTGGCTGAGCTCTCATGAATGGGATTATTGCCCTTAAAAAGGGGCTCTAGACAGCTCTCTTGCTTTCTTTCTGCCATGTAATAATATAATGAAAAGTCTGGAACCAGGAAGAGTGCCCTCACCAGAACCCAACCATGCTGGCAGTCTGATTTTTGTATTTTCAGCCTCCAGAACCATGAGAAATAAATATCTGTTGTTTAAACAGGGGTCCCCAAACCCCAGGCCGCGGACTGGTACTGGTCCATGGCCTGTTAGGAACTCAGCCACACAGCTTGAGGTGAGCGGTGGGGAAGCGAGCATTACCGCCTGAGCTCCATTAGATTCTCATAGGAGCGCGAACCCTATTGTGAACTGCGCATGCAAGGGATCTAGGATCCACATTCCTTATGAGAATCTAATGCCTGGATGATCTGAGGTGGAACAGTTTCATCCCCAACCATCTCCTCACCCACCACCGTCTGAAAACACTGTCTTCTACGAAACTGGTCCCTGGTGCCTAAAAGGTTGGAGACTGCTGGTTTAAACCACCTAGTCTATGGTACTTTGTTACACAGCCTAAACTAAGACAGCACGTACCACTAAAATATAAGAACATTTTTAAACGTAATCACAATATCCATTATCATAGCTTGAAAAAAAAGCCTAAACAGTAATTCTTAATATTATCAAATATATAGTCATTAAATGTGACCTTTTTTAAAAACAAAAATACTTAGTTTTTCTGACTTTACCACAAAATATCAAGGTTGGGAAGTGCCTGTGATTATGTCATCAATTTAAGGTCACTGATCACTGATCATCTGATGTTAGAAACACTATAGATCTGGAACTTAAAAGTTGAAAGAAAAAAAAAAAAGAAACACTATAGTTAAGTATTCAGGAAATGAAAGCAGTATGTTTTATCTATCATTTGCCAACAAAAACAAAATGCTTCAGAAGCAAACTAAAAAATTATCAGTAGAAACAAAAGTACTTTAAGCTATCCAATTAATCAATTTAGGTAAAATAATCCTAATAATAAAAACAAATCACCCCTTCACACCCACTAGGATAACAACTGAAAAAAAAAAAAAAAAAAACAGAAAAATAACAAGTGTTAATGGGGATTTGGAGAAATCGGAACACTTGGGCATTGTTGGTGGGAATGTAAAATGGTACAGCCATTGTGGAAAATAGTATGGCCATTTCTCAAAAACTAATATGGTAATAGAATTACCATATAATCTAGCAATTTATTAATAACTTCTGGGTATATAAAACCCCCAAAAGTGAACATAGGGTCTAGAAGAGATATTTGTGCACCCATGTTCATAGTAGCATTATTCAAAATAGCTAAAACATGAAAGAAAACTAAGTATCTTTTATGGATGAATGAATAAGCAAAATGTGGTATATACTTAGCACATTATTACTCAGAAGGAAATTCTGTCACATGCTACAAGATGGATGTATATTGAGGACATGATAATAAGTGAAATAATTCAATCGCAGACAAATGATTCCATCTATATGAAGTACTTAGAGTAGTCAAAATCATAGAGACAGAAAGTAGAAGGGTGGTTGCCAGGGGCTGTAGGGTTGGGAAAATGGAGGGTTATTATTTAATGGGTAGAGTTTCTGTTTTGCAAGATGAAAAGAGTTCTGGAGATGGATGGTGATGACAGTTGTACAATAATATGAATGTAGCTAATACCACTGAACTGTACACTTAAAAACAGTTAAGATGGTAAATTTTATGTTATGTGTATTACCACAGTAAAAAAAATTGGAGGGAAAAAAATAATACTATCCTATTTGCAAGAGAAGACAAATCTTGTGCATAAAGGGTGATACAAGATAGATTAATAAATATTTTGCACATGTGCTTGCAAATCCAACATACATACACCATACACAAGTGATCCCTGTATATCTTGAAGAAAGATAATATTATTTACATCATTTTTGCTTCAATATTGTATAATTTCTAGTTAATATGGAGATAATTATTAATAATAAAAATGATTGTGAAAACATGAAAGGTTGATGATAAATGTCTGCACAGGTGGGAGGAAATAGACTGTTCTACTCTGTTGAAATATCCTACTCCCAGGCCAGAAGTAAGAGCTGGACAATGGATTGTGAAACATTTGACCTATTTAGCACAGAGGCAAATAGACAAGGCATACTATCATTTGAATTGAGGTTACTAGCTGGAGTTACTAGATGCATTAGAAAATTTTGTAGCCCAGTAACCAAACCAGCATGATACTGATACCAAAACAGATATATAGACCAATGGAACAGAACAGAGGCCTCAGAAATAACACTACACATCTACAACGATCTGATCTTTGACAAACCTTACAAAAACAAGCAATGGGGAAAGGATTCCCTATTTAATAAATGGTGCTGGGAAAGCTGGCTAGCCATATGCAGAAAACTGAAACTGGACCCCTTCCTTACACCTTATACAAAAATTAACTCAAGATGGATTAAAGGCTTCAGTGTAAAACCTAAAACCATAAAAACCCTAGAAAAAAACCTAGACAATACCGTTCAGGACATAGACATGGGCAAAGGCTTCATGACTAAAATACCAAAAGCAACTGCAACAAAAGCCAAAATTGACAAATCAGATCTAATTAAATTAAAGAGTTTCTGCACAGCAAAAGAAACTATCATCAGAGTGAACAGGCAACCTACAGAATGGGAGAAAAATTTTGCAATCTACCCCTTTGACAAAGGTCTAATATCCAGAATCTATAAGGAACTTAAACAAATTTACAAGAAAAAAAACAACCCCATCAAAAAGTGGATGAAGGATATGAACGGACACTTCTCAAAAGATGACATTTATGTGGCCAACAAACATATGAAAAAAGCTAATCATCACTGGTCATTAGAGAAATGCAAATCAAAACCACAATGAGATACCATCTCACACCAGTTAGAATGGTGATTATTAAAGTCAGGAAACAACAGATGCTGGAGAGGATGTGGAGAAATAGGAATGCTTTTACACTGTTGGTGGGAGTGTAAATTAGTTCAACCGTTGTGGAAGACAGTGTGGCGATTTCTCAAGGATCTAGAACCAGGAATACCATTTGACTCAGCCATCCCATTACTGGGTATATACCCAAAGGATTGTAAACCATTCTACTATAAAGACACATGCACACATACATTTATTGCAGCACTTTTCACAATAGCAAAGACTTGGGACCAACCCAAATGTCCATCAATGATAGACTGGATAAAGAAAATGTGGTACATATATACCATGGAATACCAAGCAGCCATTAAAAAGAATGAGCTCACGTCCTTTGCAGGGACATGGATGAAGCTGGATTTCAGCAAACTAACAAAGGAACAGAAAAACAAACACCACATGTTCTCACTCATAAGTGGGAGTTGAACAATGAGAACACATGGACACAGAGAGGGGAAGATCACACACCAGGGCCTGACGTGGGGTTGGGGGCAAGGGGAGGGAGAGCATTAGGACAAATACCTAATGCATGTGGGACTTAAAACCTAGATGACGGGTTGATGGATGCAGCAAACCACCATGCCACATGTATACCTATGTAACAAACCTGCACGTTTTGCACATGTATCCCAGAACTTAAAGTAAAATTTAAGGCCAGGCACGGTGGCTCACACCTGTAATCCCAGCACTTTGGGAGGCCAAGGTGGGTGGATCACAAGGTCAGGAGTTCAAGTCTAGCCTGGCCAAGATGGTGAAACCACGTCTCTACTAAAAATACAAAAATTAGCTGGGCCTGGTGGTGGACACCTGTAATCTCAGCTACTCGGGAGGCCGAGCCAGAGAATTGCTTGAACCCGGGAGGCCAAGGTTGCAGTGAGCCGAGATTGTGCCTCTGCACTCCAGCCTGGGCGACAGAGCGGGACTCCCTGTCAAAAGGAAAAAAAAAAAAAGGAAAATTTGGTAGCCATTGTAGGACTTTATAGGGAAGAGGAAGATAAAAGAAATGTGAGAGAGCCAAGGGTAAAAAACAAAACAAGAAACAGGTAAATACGCTCCCAGTTGGTTTTAATGAGGTGTATATATAAACCTGAGTTACTTTTTTTTTTTTTTTTTTTGAGACAGGGCCTCACTCTGTCGCCCAGGCTGGAGTGCAGTGGTGTGATCTTGGCTCACTGCAGCCTATGCCTCTCGGGTTCAAGCGATTCTCCTGCCTCAGTCTCCCGAGTAACTGGGATTACAGGCGTCCACCGCTGTGCCTGGATAATTTTTGTTTTTTTAGTAGAAACAGGGTTTCACCATGTTGGCCAAACTGATCTCGAACTCCTGACCTCAGAAGATCCGCCTGCCTCAGCTTCCCAAAGTGCTGGGATTACAGGTGTCAGCCACTGCGCCCAGCCCTGTGTTACATTTTGTATTTTAATTTTTTTTTTAAGTGCCAGCATTTGTAAAATTGATTATATGAACTTTGAAATCCTGTCCACTTCTAAATCTATATCCTAAGTTTCAGTTGCCTTTAGAAATTTTAATTTACATTCTAACACTTCTTCCCTCGGAAATAACTTGTTGGATTTAAATATATACATATGTGTGTGTGTGTGTGTGTGTGTATATATATATATATATATATATATATATATATATATATATATATTTTTTTTTTTTTTTTTTTTTGAGACAGAGCCAGGCTGGAGTGCAGTGGCGCAATCTCGGCTCACTGCAACCTCTGCCTCCTGAGATAAAGCGATTCTCCTGCCTCAGCCTCCTGAGTAGCTGGGACTATAGACGTGCACCACCATGCCCAGCTAATTTTTGTATTTTTAGTAGAGACGGGGTT
Source organism: Homo sapiens (assembly GCF_000001405.40). Classification (NCBI taxonomy): domain Eukaryota; kingdom Metazoa; phylum Chordata; class Mammalia; order Primates; family Hominidae; genus Homo; species Homo sapiens. Next base: position 79,460,398 of record NC_000013.11, on the reverse strand, counting down.
TCACCATGTTGGCCAGGATGGTCTCGATCTCTTGATCTCGTGATCCACCCACCTCGGCCTCTCAAAGTACTGGGATTACAGGTGTGAGCCACCCCCGGCCTTAAATATTTTTTAATTTAATCATTCAGTGGTTCATCTGGGCATTCTTTCTTTTAACAAGCAGCTACAACAGTCTATTAAATATTATGACCTTGTGGTATACAGTGAGGGCCACGAAAATGAATCAGATACCTTGTCTGTTCTCAAGGAGCTCACTGTTGGTAGTAAAGGCAGACAGGCATATGAGTAATTCCTGTGTCTTAGAGGATAAGGAGGACTGGGGTTAAGAGGTGGACTAAAGGTTTTCCAAGTAGAAGCAGCTTTGACGTTGTACAAGTAAAACCTGAGAAACAAGAAGGTGCAGTGCCTGGAGAAATTGCAGGTGATTAAGTATTCTTGGGGGGTGGGGAGTGATGAATGATTGGGGTGCACAGTTAGGAGTGGTGACATAAATAGGAGCTCTGCTAGGCATGCCAAGGAATTTGGATTTTATCCTGAAGGCAAAGAGAAATCCTTTAAGGACTCAAATTAGGAATGTGACAAGATGTATGAATTTATGACGTTCAAATTGAGGATCAGTTGGAAGTGTGTTGCAGGAGAGTAGAGGCATGTAAGGCATGGTAGAGCAGCTGAAAGAGAGCTACAGTATCCCTAGCAGGAGTCATGCTTGCCTGAGCCAGAGCAGAGCCAGTGGGCACTCAAAGGCAGAGACAGAGCCCAAAGGGACTGAAGAGGTAGAACTGGCTAAGCATAGGAGGGTCCTTCCCTGGGATTTAGTAGGTCTGGAGAGGGACCTTGAACGAATAGTTTAAATAAATTTCCCAGGTAATGCTGATGATTAGTCAGGTTTGGGACCCACCAGTGCAGACTGCTTCTCAAAGAGCTTGAGTGTCCAAGAAAGAGTGACAGAAAGCCAAGAGGGGCCTTTGGTTAAACATCAAAGAGCCTGGATTGTTTATGTGCCAAAGAAAAAGAAGCAGCAGGGAGCAATAAGTTGGAGATGAAGCTACACCCCTGAGTAGCTGAGTTTCTGGAATCCACGCAAGGGAAAGATTTTCTTTCTTTCTTTCTTTTTCTTTTTTTAGATGGAGTTTGGCTCTTGTCACTCAGGCGGAGTGAAATGGTGTGATCTCGGTTCACTGCAACCTCTGCCTCCTGGGTTCAAGCATTCTCCTGCCTCAGCCTCCTGAGTAGCTGGGATTACAGGTGCCCACCACCATGACTAGCTAATTTTTTGTATTTTTAGTAGAGATGGGGTTTCACCATGTTGGTCAGGCTGGTCTTGAACTCCTGAGCTCAGGTGATCCACCCACCTCAGCCTCCCAAAGTGCTGGGATTACAGGCGTGAGCCACCGTGCCTGGCCCAGGGGAAAAATTTTCAACAGGAAGACCTCAGATCTGAGACAAGAAGAAATGGCTCAGGGATAGGAAAACAGGCACAAACATTTGAGGAGAGAGGGTTAGGGAACAGGCTGAGGGAATTCTACCTAAGCTCTCCCTGCTTCCCCTTTTCCCTTTTCTGAGAAAGCTAAGATGTTTGAAAAAACTATAAAGGTCATGGAGAAGATGAGAGGGGACTCATAAAAGAGAAAGAAAAGTGCTATTGCTAAGCCAGCAGAGTGGCACATGTGTATAGTCCCAGCTACTCTGGAGTCTGAGGCAGGAACGATTTCTTGAGGCCAAGAGCTTGAGTCCAGCTGGAGCAACATAGCAAGATCTCTGTCTCTTACGAAAAAAAAAAAAAAAAAAAAAGGTGAGGTAATGTCCTGTTGAGGTAAGGAACTTTATATTAGTCCTGGTACCAGTGGGCACAATTGTGTGATTTTCTTGATGTAAGTTCACCCATTTCAGCAAATAAAAATTCAGTTCACCAGCTAAATTTGAATTTCAGATAAACAATGAATAATTTTTTTAGTATAAGTATGTCCTATGCAATATTGCAGATATAAACTAAAAAAAATTCCTTAGTTATTTGAAATTCAAATTTAACTGGGCATGCTGTATTTTATCTGGCAACTTTATAGGGGAACTTGAAAAATCAGATGTGAGGATTATGACTTAATACTTAAAGTTGGAATTTATTATGCAAATCATCTTCATTTATTAATGTTTATTTATTTGCAAGCATGATTCACTGCTAGTAGCAGACAGGGCCATGAGCACATACTCGTAACATGGCAACAAACACAAGCGGGACTGATTAGATCATGAAAGCTGAGCTGCATCTCTCCTCCTACTTCTGTCTCATTTCCTGAGACATTCACATTCACCTCTGACCCCAGAAATCAGCATTTTCTATCCCAATCTGCCTTGACCATGCTGGGGTCCTTCAAGCCCATATCTCTGTGTTTATCATTAAGCTTTAATTCTCATGAGAATTACAATATTTCTCTCCAAAAAAAACCTCATCTTCATGACTTAAATTATTTTTTATGTAAAATGTAAGACTTTGCAAAGGAAAAGGTACATTTTTCATATTTTATTCTATATCACATTTTAGTTCTTAGAACATTCTCATGGGAAAAGTATGTTAATTATCAGATCATTTTTTTCTAGGCTAATTATTAGTGATGTAATTTTTAAATGATTGGATCAAGGAAAGAGTTGATCCTTATATATAGGCTGGCTTCATTCCTTATATATATTGTACCAATTTGGAGATATCCTATGATCCATCAACGTACAGAATGACAAAATACATATATATGTCTGTACATATTTGTGTGCTAAATGCAAAACATAAATGACTGGCAACCTGTTTTACTTTCAGAACTCAAAAATCTTAGTTTCATACCTTGAAGTTAATTACTCTCATGCAAACAAACTTTAAGGAAACCTGCATTCTACTGGCTTTGGCATATCTTTCACAGGGGAAAAATTGAAGATAACTTAATTTTGGAGCCATGCTTTGATCAATTAAACCATCACTGTGATGGCAATGTTAGAGTCCTAATTTACAGTTATGAAAGAGACAAGCTGTCAAACCAATATTGATTCTCTTCTTCTTACCAGGTAGAAGATATGATCAGCTAAACTACTTTTCACAGCCTCCATGGCAGCTGAACACGAAACTCCTAGAAAGGCTTCTTAAGAGAAGCATAGCCAGATTGCATGAACTCTTTTTTACTTTTGTCCCTTTCCCTTGCTTCTTACCTGGAACTCAGACATGGTGGCTGGAGCTCCAGCAACCACCTTGGACCATAAGAACACCTTAAAGATAGAAGCATGCTACAAATTGCACAGTAGGAATGTAAGAAGAGGCTGGGTCTCTGATAAGTATGGTACCACCCTATGGGGTACAGATCCATTAACCCTCAAATTTCTTTTACTTGAGACAAAAACAGTTAAAGATCATGTTATTTTTGTTGTTTGTTACTAGCTACCAATGTAAGTTCCAACAGAGGTACAGCTATTAATGGTGAATTTTAAAAAGATGAGTATTGCTTGGCTTAGTAATAACAGTAAAGCTTATTGAGTATTTACTGTGTGCCAACCTCTGACATACTTTCTAAAGGTTGTCTCATTTAATCATCACAATAACTCCATAAAGTAGATACTGTATTTAGTTCATCTTTCATATGAGAAAACTGAGCTTAGGAGTAACTTGCTCAAAGCTATACTAGGAGGTGGTGGTGTTGAACTCAAACCCAGACAAGTTTCCATAAGAGCCCTGGCTCTTAACTTCTCAGAGGTGGAAAGAATAACGTTTTCAATGACAGAAAGCAAAGCACATTTTACAATGTTTAATAGATCAGCCATTCGTTTGTACATCGTTGGGTATTTTTAATGAGCCTTACTTGTTAGTAGAAGCTGATTATGTAGAAATGAATACGACACGTGTCCCATCTTTGTAGCTCCTGGTTTATGGGAGAGAATGTTTAGGAAATATTTGTTGTATCACTAACATCTACCTCAGCACCATAGGAAAAGTAAAAAAAAAAAAAAAAAAATCTACTGAATATCCTTAAAATTCTACTTTAATAATCTTAAGTAAATTATGAGATAGGGAAAGTTTTTCTTCAGGGCCCTCACAACCCTCATCTCTCCTATCCCCACCTTTAGTTATAGGCAGGGCTGTTGCATACAGTTTTGCAAGATTATGCAATGCTGGATTCTGGGGAGAGCTGTTCACATCCATTGTCTTCACTGAATTTTGGTATTTATCACCGTGATGTTCTGGCTGAAGGCAGTAAAATGTCTTGAGAAAGCATGTTTTTTTTTGTTTTTGTTTTTGTTTTCCTAATTTGCACAAGGACACCCTTTGGTCTAGTGGCAAGTCTGGTTATATGCTTCTGCTTCCCACTTCAGGCACTCTGGCTTGTGATCTTCCACTGGAAGCACCCCAACATCCCTAACCCCAATCCTATTCCAACCTTAACCCAACAAGCTCTGTTTCAGAGAGCTTACAACGTGTTGGAATTAACTCTCTCATCTGACAAGTCAATGAAGTCCATAAACTCAATTACAGTAAAAATAGAAATTAGTTTGCATTCTTGGTTTTCTCTCTTGTATAGACACACTTGTATAGTCAAAGTCTTAATTCAGAAGGATGTAGGGATGTGTGTCTGAGAGAAAGAGAACTCTTAGTGAAGTACTGTAATAACAATTTTAAAATTATAGTACTCCCGTAATCCCTTGCCCAATTCCATCTCATTCCCCAGAAGAAAGTATTTTCAACTGTGATCTGAGAGACAAAAATAGATGCCCCTTTACTGACTAAGATGAACTCTAAAGTTAAGGAAATGAAAGGTACCTATGGGTGGAAGATTCAGGGCCCTGCTGCATGACAGATTTCTAAATTCCTAGGGCCACAAGAAGAACCACATTCTTGTTAAATTCCATATAGCGGCCAGGCACAGTTGCTCATGCCTGTAATCTCAGCACTTTGGAAGGCGGAGGCGGGCGGATCACTTGAGGTCAGGCATTCAAGACCAGTCTGACCAACATGGTGAAACCCCGCCTCTACTAAAAATACAAAAACTAGCCGGGCGTGGTGGCAGACACCCATAATCCCAGCTACTTGGGAGGCTGAGGCAGAAGAATCGCTTAAACCTAGGAGGCAGAGGTTTCAGTGAGCCAAGATCATGCCATTGCAATAGAGCGGGACTCCATCTCAAAAAAGAAAAAAAAAAAAATTCATATAGCTCCTATCAGACCCCTCCTAACTCTGATTTACAACACTGATCGGACAGAGGACTGGCCTTACAAACATTCTTTTCTAATAAGAAACTGCAAACCTTGAATCAGTTTCAGCCAGCTTAGAGGCTGAGCACAAATTGTCTTTGTGTCTAATAGTTCACCTTTTGACATAAACAACAAAATTTGACTTCATTTTAATGCTAAAACTCCCCTCAAAGTGAATATGGGATGTATATTACATCTATGTTTACCTATTGCACATGTGTTTGGCACCTCTCACAGATATGTGTAGCTTTTCCCCCTAAACCTGCTAAATATGTATGGCTCTATTGTGTAATATGGGCACTCTGAGGCATCAAAATCAAACCTACCCTTCCCTCCTCAAAGAGAGACCACCTTTACTATATGCTGGAGACTATCTCTTCCTGGTTTGCAAACTGATATGGCTAATAAAGCTCTTCTTTCTACTATTTAGCCAAAAGACCTTGGATGACACAACTCATACAGGGTTGTTTTGGTATTTACCTCCATATTTCCAAACAATCTGCTTATACTGGTATGTCTTGTTTATCAATTTCAAATTTATTTATTAATATCCTATTAATAATAAATATGGATGTACATCTCTTATACCACCAGTCCCACTTTCCTTATATCTCTCACTCTCCCGAGATAGTTAATTCAATACTTCTCAGAGGTAGAAGGAATAACATTTTTAGTGACAGAAAGCAAAGAGGATTTTACAATGTTTAATAGATCAGTCATTCATTTGTGAAACTGTCATTGAGCGTTTATTATGAACCTTGCTCATTAATAGGAGCTGATTATGTAGAAATGAATAAGACATATCCCATCTCTGGGAGTTTTAGCTATGCCAGTATTCAGTGTTGACATTTTTATGATTGGTAAATGTTGACCCTTCAGAGCCAAGTTCTTTCATATAAAACATTGTTTTTCCTAGTGTTAACAATTGCCACATTTTGTCATTTCTTAGTATTAATAAATGCCTCATTTCTTGATTTCTCATCAAAAATTTTTATATGTGCTCCATCGCATCTCTCAAATACTTATCAATATTTTCCAAGTGCTCAGATATATCAGATAATCTGTCAATTCTATTTTTTCCTGGAGGCTCTTCCCAGTCCTCCTGCTCCAATCTTGAGTTATTGATTTCTGGTTTGTTACACAGCAGTCATGTAGGACACCCTTTCGCTATTATGTGAGACTGTCCTTTGCCTCCTGCCTGCATTGGATCTCTTCCTTCTTGTGGACCCTGGAGTCCTCTGTCATGTATGCTCCTTCTTCTGTTGGTATATATTCTCCAGTTGTTTCCTACAAAAGTTATATGTTTGAATTATGTGTCTTTGAATGTCTCTATTTACCCTCATACTTGACCATTAATTTGTCTAGGAGAAAATAATTGTCTCACAAACATTTGAAGTATGGCTTCATTTTCCTCTAGCATCCTCTAGGATGGCAAATTGCTGCTAGCAAGTCTGATGCCATGTGGATTTCTATTCCCTTGCATATAGACTAATTTTAAAGTCATTTTCAAGATTTGTTCATCTTTGATGTTCTGAAATTTCATGACAGTATGCCTTGGTGTGGATCTTTTTAAATTTACTCTGCTCATATCAGTGGCCTTTCAATCTGTAGGCTCATTGCCTCAGTTTCAAGAAATTTTTTCTCTTTTTCTGGACTCCTCTTACTTCAGATGTTCTTACAGTTTGATCATTAGAATCTGTTATGTTTTCTCTACTAATGTCTTTTTATTTGTTTTTTTTTCTTGTTTCTCTGGGAGATTTGATTAACTTTATCTTTAATCTCTTCTATGAAAGGTTTTCTTTTATATATTATGCTTGTAATTTCTAAGCACTCTTCTTTGTTATTTTTCATTTTATCCTGTGTTTGTCTTTGTTTTTTATGGATGCAATATTTTGTGGAAGGAAAGGTATATAACAGGATATGGTACTTGGGGATCAGGTTAGGAAAAGATGGTTGGCAGCCTTCTTTAGAGAAATCTGAGGACTTATTACACTAAAACACTTTCTATGAAAATACCAGGAATAACATAGAATCAGACTTCTTACTTCTCAAAGTGGCTTCAGGACTGTGCTTGTTTAATGCTATGGAATAATGATATGTTTTTCATTTAGATATAAGACAAATCTGTAAATTAGGTTACAACAGGTATTAGATACTCTAATGGACTGGATAATGATTTCTAACCAAATAAGATTATTTTCCTAGTATTGGGCTCTCACCAATACCAAACGATCCAGTTAGATTTCAGTTTGTCTTCCAATTTTCTGGCTGCAGGATTCCTTAAGTTCAGAAATAATTCAGACAGCTTTGCAGGGGAGAGAAAAATGGCTCCCCTCCATCCTTGTAGGTTCTTTGGCTGGGCTACAAATTAAATTGACATAAGACAGATTAACTGAAGAAAAACCATTTTAGTTATGTGCATATGCATGGGAGTCCCGGAAAACATGAGACTCGAAGAAAGGCCAGATGATTGAAATTTATATAGCATCCTGGGGCTTCTTGTGGGAGGAGGCACCAAGTTATGGAAGGGTGATGGGGGAAAAAGTATGGTAAATGAAGTTTGTCTTGCTATGCAGATAAGTCTCTCAAGTAATAAAAGTTGTCTGGAGCAGCCCTCTTCCTGATACAAATACTTTTGATAACTTAGATTTGTTTTATAGATGTAAATTTCTCTTACACAAGGGGAGCTTTTCAGAGCTACTCCTGTGTCTGTAGATTCTCAGAATAACCAGCTCAAAATATGCCAAAGAAGCATATTTTGGCATGGCATATTCTTGTCTCCTCCAGTCATATTTTGGGATGGTATGTCTGAGTCCCAACAATGTCCTAGAGATTATAGATATTTGCTCAGTTTTCTCAGTTTCAAGAGACACATAAATGCACAATAATAATTGAGATTCACAAACTTTATCACACGGAATGATTTTCCTCAGTTTCTTGTTTATTACTCTTATAACTGGGTAAATTTTACACTCTGTAGTTTGCTTAGGTTTTTTGTTTTGTTTTGTTCTGTTTTCAGATCTATCTTAAAAGAACAGCCAGGTAGGCAAAACTCTTTGTACCTTATCTGGCCGTCAAGTTAAACTCGATTAGTATCTCTCTCTTTCTCTTCCCATAAATGATCTAACTGTATTAATTTCCCTTTATGAAGTTCTGCACCAGCTTGAGCTGGGACAAACATCACAGACTCACGCTTCATTCCAGCTAATGGACCAAAGTTTCTATACAGGTGGAATTGCATTAACATGAAGATTAGTGGCAACTGGTGTGTTTTTTTAGGAAGAATAAGGGAGAGACAGTCCAACCTTTTCCTTTGAAGATGATGGAGGCTGTCATGTGCTGATAGTGTAGATGCAGATCTCAGGTCTGTCTTTCGAAGTGGCTGAGCCATTTCCTCTCTTGCTGAAGAGAGTCTCTGCCCTGAGTCACCGCCCTGTGGTTGCTAGGGGCTTGTTAGCTGCGTGGTAACCCTCTCCACCACCACCTCCCACACACTGAGTTCTGGGGAATTGCCCCAGTTTTCAGCTCTGCTGAGGGTGGTTTGTGACTCATCTTCTTTTCTCTTTAGTGACCTTTTAAAGGTCATTTCTCTTGTAGGGCTTTTTTTAATTTATTTGAACACAAGCAACAATGGTCTAAAACCAATACATTCATTTTGCATACCATTTATGTAAAATTGGCTTTCTATTCTGCTTCAGATAAAATATTTACTTTCCATTAGGGAAAAAAAAGTGCAGGATGATCTTATTTCCTATGGGACAGTCAAGATTATATTTCCCAAAAATGTTATCAGTAAGTGTCCAAAACAAGGTAAAGAGCCACAATCCTAGGAGTCTTATTTAGAACCTGTTTATTCCTAGCTTTACATACAATACCTTCCCTGGAACGAATAGGATTGCCAGTGCAAGCAAAGTTGAAGCATCCAATCTTTGCAATATTTTGCAATAGTAAGTAATTTTTTTTAATCTTTTTAAAAAATTTGTATAAATTTAAGGGGTACAAGTGCAGTTTCATTACACGCATATATTGCATAGTGGTAAAGTCTGGGCTTTTAGTGTAATGATCACCTGAGTAATATATATTGTGTCCACCAAGTAATTTCTCAACCATCACTTCTCTCCCACCCTCCCACCCTTCCAGGTCTCCAAGATCTGTTACTCCACACTCTATGTCCATGTGTATAAATTATTTAGTTCCCACTTATAAGTAAGAATAAGCAACATTTGACTTGTTTTATTTAAGAATTTAATCCTAGTATATATATTTCTTTGTTTTATTTTATTGTTATAGTTTAAAGATGTTATCACAGTTAAATATCCTCCACCTTTTAGAATTGAAAACCTCCTTGCCAATATTTCATAAGTCAGAATTCTTGGCATGCCGATTAGCAATTTAACTCCCCATACAGAGGAGAATATATATGGATGGGATATGGAAGATATGCCTTTGCTATGCACTTAACTCTTATCCCTAGTAACCAACTGGGCTAGAGAAGTGTAAGCAGCCCACTTGTGTTGGAATATAAAGTGTGAAGGTGAGAATGGCCGATGATATAAGAGAGACAGCATTAAGGAGCTTACATTTTTGTCATTTCATTTTGAAATTTATATTCTTAAATTTAGGAAATTTGTAAAGTTCAGAGGAAAAACATGTAAGACTTTAATATAATTCAAGAGAGTTAAAAACTACAGAAATATATTTCTCATTATATAATTCAAATGGCACAGTAATCACACTAATACTGAGTAGATGCTAAGTAAATGCTCTATACTAGAGTTTTATTGGTTTAGCATATGTGTGAATATGAGAGTGAATGGGGAAATATCAAAAGAAACAATATGATTCAGAGTGTACTTTTTGGTAATCTCACATTTAAAACTTCACAGTTTTATTATGTATACACACGCGCGCACACACACACACACACACAGACATGTATACATCGTGAAAATAAAAACACATAACCAAGGCAACCCTAGGAGTCCTAGGATACCAAATGCCTAAATAATAAACTGAGATTAATTTTTAAATACCATACATAGTAAGTTGTTTCTTTCCTTCCTGCTTGCCTCCCTTCTTCACGCCTTTCCTCTCTTCTTTCTTCCTTTTCTGTTACATTTGACAACAGGAAGGAAGGAAGGAGGCAAGGAAGGAAGGAAGGAAGGGAGGGAGGGAGGAAGGGAGGGAGGAAGGAAGGGGAGGGAGGCAGGGAGGGAGGGAGGGAGGAAGGAAGAAAGAAAGAAAGAGGAACTTCAAGAGGGGTGAAGATCAAATTTGCATTCCCAGCGCTGGCATGTGAATGTGGTTGGTCCGAGCTGGCCACCCCTTGAGCATGTTTGCAGATTGGTCATTGTTGCCTAGTGCCAATGAGAAATGATTGCAGTGCTAGTGTACACGGACAAGGGCAATCATTTTTATGGACCATGTAGCAAGATTGTGTCTATGACATTAAAAAACTGTACCCAGAACCGGGATGATGATCCAGATAGCATAGTTTGCTTAAGACAGGTTTAGATGCCATGTAAGTCATCATACAGTTTGTTGGGAGAGCCCTACTTAACAAGAAATAAAAACTGACAAATGCAATATTTCTGTGCTCTCTCCCAAGGCCTTGGGAAAGGCTCATGCAAGTGAGAGATTCTAAAGCTTAAGCTTAAATATTCCTCTGCTCCAATAGGGCACGTTCTTTGATGTGACACAACCTTCCCATGGACGATTACAAAACTATTGCCACCAACTGTCTTAGTCCATTTGAGCTGCTATAACAAGATACCTTAGACTGAGTGGCTCAAAAACAACAGCAATTTATTTCTCACAGTTTTGGAGGCTGGGAAGACCAAGACTCAGGTGCCAGCTCACTTTCTGGGTCACAGATGGCATCTTCTCCCTGTCTCCTTGCATGAGGGATGGGGCAAGACAGCTCTCTGAGGTCTCTTTTATAAAGGCATTAATAACTTCCTAAAGCCCTTACCTTCTCACAACCATCACCCTGGTGATTAGTGTCTAACATATTAATTTTAGGGGACACAAAACTTCAGACCATAGCACCAACCAAGCACATGTCCTCTGGGGGACTCAAGAAGCCACATTCTCTGCTCATCTGAGCCACACAACATCAAAAAATGATTTCAGTGACAATTTTCTCTATTAGCCCAAGATGGTCACATAACTAATACCTCTCCAGACGTATAGGATAGAAGTTAATTATTTGTATATTATGGATGTATTAGTGCAATAAGGACTAATTCTCTCATGGAACTAGTTGAGAAATACTCCTTTATTCTCATATCTTGTTATCCTTTGCTGAAAATGTATCACTGGAAGTTATACAATCAAATGTATAAAATACATGTGTTAGAGTACTGACTGGTAGTACTCTTCAAGCCAATTTCTGTGAGACTAATTTATCACCCTGGACTACAGTCCCAGGAATTGGGGTTACTCAGATTGGGCACATATAGGCACATATAATCCTCTGGTTAGTACTAGAAGAGCAATCTCAGTCACTAGGGCCAAGAGGCAAAGATGAGGTCATAAACAGGAAGTGAGGAAAAGCAGCAGGAACCATGGTGGTCAGGAAAGGAAGTATCAAGTCTAAACAAGGAAGAAATATTGCAAACCTGTTCTTAACCGGCCTAAGTCCCATGGTACAAACATGAACTTGACAGAATGAGTCCCAAATGAGAGTCAGTGGTGTGCTGACACAGAGAAAGGATAGTCCTTATTACTTATTCTCATGTTTTCCAAAAATGGAGAACAATCTTTTAATGAACAATCATGAAATTAATATTAGTCAAGAGTAGAAAGTCACAATTAAAGAACAGGTTGCAAAGAGCGTATCAATAATCTGAATGAAGTCTGCTAACTTGCATAAATTCCATGTCAGTTGTGAGATGCATATTAGCTATACCAACGTGGAGAAGAGCATCTAGGAGGAATTCTCAGAAAAGGCAATGCTTAAGATGAATCTTAGAGATGAATAGAACATTTCAGGATAGATTAAGCAGGATAAGGACAACAAAGTAATGTGAATAAGAACTTGTGTATCAGTGTACTTGAGGGACTGTGAAAGATGCAGGAATAAAATAAAGATTATCTAACATTCAAAAGAGATAGGAAGATCATTCCACACATTTCCCAAGGGGGATTCTAAATTGGATTATTAAAGAATGCTTCAAGGTCTTCTAGTTCCCAGCATGGATTAATTTGAAAAGATCAACACATCCTAATCTCTCTAAATCCCACTTCAACCATTCATTACCGGCATTAGAGAGTGTGCCTGTGCGCTTGCAGAGGGAGTGGTGGGAAGGAGAGAAGGAGAAGAGGAACATTGACTAAGGGGCTGCAATGAAAATTAGTGCAACATGACACTGGGGACTGAAGCAGACAACAGAAAGCCTATAGCAATGAGAGATGTTTAGGCCAGATGATTAAGAAAAGAAAAAGAAAAAATTAGCCAAGTTTCAAAAATACTAGAAAAAGAGTTGCAGGAATTGAAGGCAGAATTCACTACCAAAAATATAGATCCCAGGAAAATAATAGCACATGCAAATAGTTTGGGATGAAATAGGAGGAAAGGGTGAAAATGGGAGGAGATAAACTCTTGCTCTAAAACATTGGTTCTTAAAGTTTGGTTCCTACACAAGCATACATGAAAATTTGTTAGGAATGCAAATTCTACTGAATTAGAAACAGGGTGGAATCCAGAAGTCTGTGACTTGATAAGCCCACCAAGCAATTCTAGTGCACACTGAAGTTTGACAACTGCTTCCCTAGAGCATCAGCTAGAGTTCGCAGCTTATTTTAATGGGATTAAGGAGCTCAGTGTAATTCCAATGGCCAGTTTCTGCCTCGTTATGTGTTAAAATTGTTTTTTTAAGAAAAGCCATCCAAAATCTTTGCCCTGCGTTTAGAGTCCAGGGATCAATCACAAATCCTTTTGCTAAAAAGATCTGCTACACAAAAGAATGCCAGCTTTTTCCTAACCACCGAGAGTTACAGTGCTTTTTATAGTTCTGAAAATAAAAGACCTAAAAAGAGAAAACTTAGTGAACTTGCTGCTGATTCATTTGTATGAAAATTTAGTGAACTTGCTGCATCAAACTTTATTGACCAACCAATACAATTTATGAACCACCATCAGTTTTCACTCCAGCTATTGTATTATGACTTTTGGCAATTATTTGCAATAATATTTCATAAAATCTTAATGTTAATTCAACTATCTAGGTTCCTATTGTGTATTTCATAATAGATAAAGTCAGGTTCCATAGCACATCCTCTTCTTCTTCTTGGGGACAGGAGCTTAGAGAAAAAAACACTATACACTATAAAACAAAATGCAGTCTGATTTAGGACCTGTATTTCTAACCTAATAAATCCAATGAGCAAAAGACAATTTGCTTGGAAAAAAAAACCATACATGATTTCCTTTTCATAGGGTTTATGAGTCAGGGTCTAGGCAGGAGACAGAATCACAGCAGTTATCTAAAAGCAAAAGTTCAATATAAAACATTATTAGTTGAAGATGGTTATCTGTGAACATGGGCAAAAGGAATACAGAAGTATCAGGTGTAAAACAGCAGCTACTACCTACCTATTGCCTGTGAAAACACAGACAATAAAAGAACTAAGTAAGTACAAAGAGAAGGCTGCTTCCTGAGCGCAGGCTGAGATTTTGATCTCTTCAGATGGGGAGCCGCTGCCATGGAATGCAACAGCCTGCAGGTGGTGAATGAGGTTGCCAGAGTGGAGGTTGGCTCTAGTCTATAGAAGAGGCTTACAGGCCGGGCGCGGTGGCTCAGACCTGTAATCTCAGCACTTTGGGAGGCTGAGGTGGGCAGATCACCTGAGGTCAGGAGTTTGAGACCAGCCATACCAACGTGGTGAAAACCCATCTCTACTGAAAATACAAAACAAAACAAAATTTAGCCGGGTGTGGTGGCTGGCGCCTATAATCACAGCTGCTTGGGAGGCTGAGGTGGCAAAATCGCTTGAATCTGGGAGTCAGAGGTTGCAGTTAGCTGAGATCACACTGCTGCGCTCCAGCCTGAGTGAAAGAGCAAGACTGTCATAAAAAAAAAAAAAAGGGGCTCACAGTTGCCAGAAGGAGAGAAGGAGTGGGCAGAATAGTGCTGCTCAGAAGTGGCTTCTGGTAAGGAAGGAGATCATGGGCTCAGGGTATGACTAGAGCTCATCTGCACGGCTGGCTACTGGTCTCCTGTTCTGAATAATACTATTTAAGGACTGGTATATGGAAGGGGAAGGGTCTTCCTGCTGCTATTTTCCTGGCATGGTTATGCCTGTGCCCACTACTGGCGAAGTCTAACATTCCCCTGGCAGGCAAGTGGGAACTGTTGAGTCCAGCTGCAGTATCATAAAACAGGGCAAAGAATAGTGCATTTGGAGCTGAGAGACAATAAATTGATAACTGTACAGCCCACCCTTTGGCTACGTAGCTTCCACATACAGTTTTCTACACACATTTAAACTTCTACTCAAAAACAAAACCACTGAAGTTTTCCACCCAACCAGATGTAGCTATCCTTCATATACGTGAAGTTCTGACCTTCTTCCCAAAATGAAAGGACACACTATTCTAAGGGTTATTGTCATTCAAAGTCCCACCAAATACTCTGTTATCTAAAGGCTAAATTGTAAATGCGACCTTCAGAAACTTGTATGTAAAATAATAAATGAAAGAGAGAGAAGAAAATCACTAAGACATACAAATAAATGTATACACATACCAAGCAAACAGAAAATCTACAAAGCCTCTATAGTCCTTGTTTCTGGAATAGGCCATGAGGCTGTAATTGCTATCTACATTATTCTTCAACTATCCCTTCCACATTTCTCTTGCTTTCAGAAAAATGCCAACAGGCTGAGCCTCTTTACCTGGTGTAATAACCCAAAACCATGGGTAAGATATTCATATTTTAAAAAGTTGATATAAAATCTTTTTCTAATAGATGACATGGATCACATATTTGCATACATAATACATAAAGTAGACAATATTCTCCTTCTTTCCTTTTTCTCAGAAAGTTATGACATGAACTTCTGATGATCCTAATCTTTTTTGTTTATACTAAACTTTCTATATAGTTTGCCCTTTTTATTTTTTCACTAGTTATAAAGCCAAAGTTTGTCAGTGTCAGTTTCTCACATAAATGAAATGGCTTTAATTATAATTACAACAATGAAAATTAGTCTTGTGAAAAACACTTCCAGAATTTTTCTTACTAATATTACACTCAATGTAATTTTATAATTTAATATTTATTATTTTATTTTATATTTAATATTTATTATTTAATATTAACATTTAATATGTATGCTGAAAATATAATTTACTATATTTATAAATATATAATATTTATGCTGAAAATATAATTATCTTGTTTATGAAACACATGATGTATTGCAATACCAAATACCTGTTTCAAACATTGTTAAATGTTTCCATTACAAAAAAGAAAAAGCCCAGATTAATTTTAATCAGACAGTTCTATATTCTATTTATATGGAGAGTTTAGGAAATGAAAACTCAGTTTATCTCATCAGCCTTATTAATATTTGCTTTTCCCCAGATAGAATGTTAATATAGCTTATAACAACTACTGAATTGTAATTAGTATGTATGATTTTCCAAACAATAGCTAGAAAAAGGGCGATTTTATAATTCATATCTTTTATTTTAAAATAATTTGTACTTATGTTTTATTTTCTTTTAGCATATAAACTTGATAAAAGTCAAAACTATAAGACCAATATAAAGAAATATTATGGGCTGAATGTGCTTCCCCCTAAAATTCATATATTGAAGCCCTAATCCCCAGTATCTTAGAATGTGACTGTAGCAATAGGGCCTTTAGAGGTAACCTAAATAAGGTCATATGGGTGAGCCCTAATCCAATAAGAATAATGTTCTTATTAAAAAAGGAGGATAGGAGACAGACATGTGCACATACACACAGCGAAGAAAGACCAGGTGAGGACACAGTGAGAAAGTGACCATGTATAAGCCGAGGAGAGACCACAGAAGAAACCAGCCAACCCTGTGGATACCTTGATCTTGGACTTCTAGCCTCCAGAACTGTGAGAAATACATTTCTCTTGTTTAAGCCATAGTCAGTCTGTATTACTTTGTTATGGCAGCCATAGCAAAATAGCCAAGGAGTTTTTGACATTTTTCTCAACCTGTGTTGAAAATGCCTACTATATACTACACGCTATGAGAAACACAAATGTTTTAAGGAATGATGGTTTCACTCACGTTTAGAATATTCATACTTATTGGGGTTGAAGACCACATTTGTAGATCTTATATTCTCTAATAAACAGATGAGAAATTTGAGGGTTTTTTCCTTCATGATGGCTAAAATACATCTGATAGTGTTTGTTTGAACTCCAATACATAAAATCTTTCAATAACATGTACATATAGCTTATTCACAGAAAAAGTATTAATGAAAGACAAGATATTTTTCAGTTCAACTGCCCTATCACAAGGAATAGCAAAGCAAAAGCAGTGAAACTTATACTGCCTTTAAGTGAGAATGTCCCAGCAATTTCCAAACAGGTGCTTATTACCAACTGAACACCCACTGAAAAATAATAGTTTGGGGCCAGAGGACTGATAACTAGAACTGAGTAGTGAGCGCAGTCCAAGCACCAATGGAACTATCTTCCCATCTGTAATATCCAGGATTTTTCTTTTCTTTTCTTTTCTTTTCTTTTTTTTTTTTTTTTGAGATGGAGTCTCATTCTGTCACCAGGCCAGAGTGCAGTGGCATGATCTCGGCTAACTGCAACCTCCACCTCCCGGGTTCAAGCAATTCTCCTACCTTAGCCTCCTGAGTAGCTGGGACTACAGGCATGTGCCACAATGCCCAGCTAATTTTTGTATTTTTAGTACAGACGGGGTTTCACAGTGTTGGCCAGGATGGTCTTGATCTCTTGACCTTGTGATCTGCCTGCCTCGGCCTCCCAAAGTGCTGGGATTACAGGCGTGAGCCACCGCGCCTGGCCTTTCTGTTCTTACAAAACAGGAGTGGTTCTGGTATTTGTTATTGTTCTGAAGAGTAATTACAGAGAATTTCTCTCCAGTAAGAAGTTTTAAAGCTTACACAACTGTTTTTATCCACTTAAAATAAAAAAGAAAAAGAAAAACCTGGGGTATTACTTAAAAGAAGATACGTTAGTAAATGAGAGTTTCGTCTGTTCTCTGTGGATTGGTACAAACTGTATAATCTGTTCCAACCCACTCATCTACATTACTCATCTCTATCACTGAATAATTGAAAGTTAGCCTCACTTTTGGGCACTTACTGCATTGTCTTCTCATACATTATTAATTCTGTATTGCTAATAATGTATTAGCAATACGTTGTTGATAATGTACCCCCTTATATTAGAAATAAATAATTAATCAAAGGTGCTAAACTCTGGGAATA
Source organism: Homo sapiens (assembly GCF_000001405.40). Classification (NCBI taxonomy): domain Eukaryota; kingdom Metazoa; phylum Chordata; class Mammalia; order Primates; family Hominidae; genus Homo; species Homo sapiens. Next base: position 79,442,717 of record NC_000013.11, on the reverse strand, counting down.
TGAGCTGTCAGCTTTGCTTTCCTCCCTAAATATTGAGTTCATTACTTTTATTACTTGAGCCAGTGGTTAGAGTTAGCCCATTCTCTGCTGAATATTAAATAAGCATTTGGGGGAAGCTCCTTCTGGAAATGAACCAATTAATTTTATCATAAAGAGACAGAGGCAGATTTACAGACATGTTTATTTATAGTACTTGCTAAGAAATGTCCCCAACACGTACTTATTGCTGAATGTGAGGCATTCTTAGGCTGTGTCTCTACCTTTTATTATTAAATTAAACAAGATTAATTCCATTCATTCATTCTGTCAGTCCACAAACATTTGATAAATGCCTGTGGTAAGATATTGTCTACATTAAGTTCCCTAGAAGCAGAGTGTGAGATGGGGATTCTTATTTATTTATTTAGAGACAGAATGCAGTGGCTTAATCTCAGCTCATTGCAACCTCTGCCTCCCAGCTTCAAGCAATTCTCCTGCCTCAGCCTCCCAAGTTTTTGGGATTATAGGAATATTCCACCATGCCTGGCTACTTTTTGTATTTTTAGTAGAGACAGGGTTTCACCATGTTGACCAGGCTAGTCTTGAACTCCTGGGCTCGTCTTGAACTCCTGGGCTCAAGTGATCCGCCCGCCTTGGCCTCCCAAAGTGCCGGGCCTGTCCCGCAGACCCTGGCTGACGGATGAAATGAGTACTCCAACACAAGTATGCAGTGTAAGAGCAGCTAGATGACTGCCTGGCTCTAGTGGCCAGAGAGCAGCCCCAAGAACCTGGAGCTGCTTGCTTTTTTTCAGTGCAGGCATAATGCCAAAAACCTGGAGCAAACACAACCTATAGGTAATTAACATTTATTGTTCCCCTTTCAGGGAACATCATGCGCACGGATGATCAAAGGTCAGTTTCTGGTCAACATAAGTAAACAAGCCTGTTTAAGATAAATTCCCCTACACTTCCTTGTACCTACTCCTTGCCCTCTGCCTCTCGGTTATAGAACAGCTGCCTTCAGCTCTTCTCCCCAGGGGCTCTGCAGAACCTTCCAAACTTTCAGAAGGTTTGCATCCTTTCCGTATAGTTTTTCCCACCACTCTGACCAATTTCCTACACCAAAGTGCTGGGATTACAGGTGTGAGTCACTGTGCCCAGCCCAAAATGGGGATTCTTATTTAAATGATTAGTTGAGAAAATGCTCTCGGAGAAGTTGGGGTGGGAGGTAAGAGAGTGCAGGAGGAAAAAGCTTAGCAAGGATGTAGTCTCATTAGGACACTGCTTTCAGGCCGGTCCAATGGGAAACTCTGGACCCTTCAGGGAAGGGAGTCACCTTTTGTGCCTCATGTCAGTCAATTATTGGAAGGGGTTATAACCCTTGAAGGTGTGGCTGCTCTAGTCTTCTGTTCTACTGAGAAGAAGAGACCAATTCTCCCGAGATAGTAACAGTTGTGAGTTGTTAACAGCAAATACTCAGAAGAGCTAAGGAATAAACCAAGGCCAGGGCACCAATAGCATCCAGTAGATCAGGGGTCTCCAACTCCTGGGCCATGAACCAATACTGGGCTGCACAGCAGGAGGTGAGTGGCAGGCGTCGTCTGTATTTACAGCCACTCCCCATCGCTCACATTACTGCCTGAGCTCTGCCTCCTGTCAGATCAGCAGCAGCATTAAATTCTTATAGGAGTGCAAACCTTATTGGGAATTGCTCATAGAAGGGATCTAGGTTGCATACTCCTTATGAGAATCTAGTACCTGATAATCTGTCACTGTCCCCCATCACCCCCAGATGGGACCATCTAGGTGCAGGAAAACAAGCTCAGGGCTCCCACTGATTCTACATTATGGTAAATTGTATAATTATTTCATTATATTACAATGTAGTAATAATAGAAATAAAGTGCACAATAAATGTAATGTGTTTGAATCATCCTGCAACCATCCCCACCACCTTGGTCCATGGAAAAATTGTCTTCCACGAAACTGGTTCTTGGTGTCAAAAAGGTTGGGGACCACTGCACTAGATGACTGTGTTAGATACGATAATGACTTATTAAATTTTACAGGTAGAAAGTACCATAGAGATTATATAAGAAATTACCACTCCTTTTCCAATAAGGACAACTGAGTTGAGACACAGTACCAGAAGCACCCAATTTGGCATAATTTGTATTAAAGCACAAATCTTATTTCCAGCAAATGTAATTTTTATTATATCGTAATTCTTGTTTACTTCCAGAAACTTTTCTTTTGATTAATATATAGGTAGCAGAAATCTTATCTCTAATGTGTTTCAGAGAACTAAAGGACTAGATAACATATTTTGGGACTGAGTGTTGTAATAGGAAAGAATTAACTGCTCATGAACAGGTAACTGGATGACTTCTTCCTACAATGAGTTTAAGAATTCAGCATCAAAGTTTATACGAAAATGCAAAAAATAATAATAATAGAGCCCCAAACTGGAAATACGAATAAGAAACGAGAGATCAGTTTCTTCCTATCCTAAGTGACAAGGCAGAAAAACCCCAGGGCTGGAATAATGCCTAGAAATGGAAGAGCTGAAAGAGATATCTCATCAACAATTTTTTTTTAAACACCATTAAGTATTTTGACCATATTTTATAAGGTGGAATCTCGAAAGAGTGAGGATTCTATATTCAAAGCTTTGGAATTGACATAGACAAAACCAGGAATTTTCCTTTTCTCTTAAAATGTCCCGGCTTTATAGGTATATTTTTTGCAGTCTTTAAGGATTCTGTAACTATACCAAATAGCCAAACTGTGAGAGTCATAAATTCTATTTATCTATCTGTTTATATCAGGAGTTCTTAACCTGGAGTCCTTGGATGTACAAAGGGTCTACCTGGATGGAATTCAGAGGGTCCTTGAATTTGAATGAGGAAAAAAATTACGTCTTTATTTTCAATAACATTTAACTGAAATGTAGAAAATCCTTCAAGTATGAATGCTTGCAAGAATCTTAGTCCCTATGACCTTGCCACCAATAGAAATTACAGATACTTTCCTATCACAGTGAATGCGTGAGTGCATTAGATCTCAGCCTTCCTGTCTACAGACACTCATGCACTGGAGCTGGCCAACCAGAGTGCAATGCTGGGCCTGCAAATGGTGAAGCTGTATAACCTCATAATAGAAGTTTAACTCAATGGATTTGGATAATTTTCATATTTGCAATGGACTGAATGTTTGTGCCCCACCAAAAAAATTTACATGTTGAAATACTAACCCCCCCAGTGTGATGGTATTAGGAGGTGGGGCTTTGGAGGCGTAACTAGGTCATGAGGGTGGAGCCTTCACTAATGGGAATAGTGGCCTGATAAAAATATATGAGAGAGCTTTCTTCCTCTCTCTCTGTTCTCCACCATGTGAGAATACATGAAGAAGCCAGTGGTCTTCAATCCATACAAGGGCCCTCACCAGAACCTGATCATGCTGGCACCCTAATCTTGGACTTCCGGCCTCCAGAACTGGGAGAAATATGTTTCTGTTGTTAGCGTCACTTGTTTATGGTAGTTTGCTATAGCAGTCCAAACTGACTAAGACAGTATTTCTTGAGATAACCTGTTTCTTTTTAAGCAAACTATGGAAACTTTAATTACATTTATGGTAACATATTTTTAAGAATCAGGAGGCCAGATGTGGTGGCTCACGTCTGTAATCTCAGTGCTTTGGAAGGCCAAAGCAGGTGGATCGCTTGAGGCCAGGAGTTTGAGACCAGCCTTGCCAACATGACAAAGCCCCATCTCTACCAAAAATGCAAAAATTAGCCAGGCGTGGTGGCACACTCTTGTAGTCCCAGATACTCGGGAGGCTGAATAGGAGGATGGCTTGAGCCCAAGAGGCGGAGGTTGCGGAGTGAGCCGTGATTGCACCACTGTACTCCAGCCTTGGCGACAGAGCAAGACCCTGTCTCAAAAAAAAAAAAAAAAGAATCTGGATTATCAATACTTGAACTAAAAACACCAAAAGCTAGAATTCAACTGGCTTTTACACGACATGCGCATTGCCTTATCAAAGTTTATTGTTCTTTTTCATTTTTAGCAACAACAGCCTCACACTGATGAATATGGTAAAAAAAAATTTAACTTTGACTTGCCAATATTTTAAACCTATTGTTATTTAACACATTTTAAAAGCTCATATTTTGCTACCTAATAAAAATATTTTAGGGCCAGGCGTGGTGACTCACGCCTGTAATCCCAGCACTTTGGGAGGCCGAGGTGGGTGGATCACCTGAGGTGAGGAGTTCAAGACCAGCCTGGCCAACATGGTAAAACCCCGTCTCTATGAAAACTACAAAAATTAGCTAGGCATGGTGGCACATTCCTGTAATCCCAGCTACTGGGGAGGCTGAGGCAGGAGAATTGCTTGAACCTGGGAGGCCGAGGTTGCAGTGAGCCGAGATCACGCCACTGCACTCCAGCCTGGGCAATGAGTGAAACGCCATCTAAAAAAAAAAAAAATATATATATATATATATATATATACACACACACATATACATATACATATACATATATGCAATTGATTTTCCATGTAATCTTATATGTTTCTTATATATTTTATATACTCCAAACATTTTCTTAATAGGGGTACATTGGCTTTACCAGACTGACAAGGGCCCCATGATATAAAAGAAAGTTAACAAACCCTGGTTAGGTATAAATTACTTTCTATCTATGTAAATAATGACATTCACTGGCCTTTGCTATCACATTTTCACTTAAATAATTCTATTATTTTCAACTCATTTTTTTTTCCTATTTTTAACACCTTTAACAAAATATATCATATATTATAAAATTCACCTATTTCTTGTGTAAAATTTGATAATTGTAATAACTTTATCAAGTGGTGCAACCATCACCATAAGTCACCTTTAGAACATTTTCATCTCTGCAATTAGATCCTGCATGCCCATTTATGGTCTTTAGCTCATTATTAGGTATATTGAATGAAATTGCATTCCACCTAGGATGCAATTGATTGTAAATATTTTTATGTTACAAAAGTGAGTCTATAATAAAAATTCTGCAACAGTGCTGACACTTACCATAGCATCACATTTTAGAAACAAAATTAATTAAAAAATACTCGTTCTAGGTTAATGGTTACAAACATGCAGTTAGAAGAAACAGGTTCTAGTGTTTGATAGTACAGTAGTTTGACTATAGTTAACAATATATTATATATTTCAAAATATCTAGAAGAGAAGATTTGAAATGTTCCCAATACAAAGAAATGATAAATGTTCAAGGTGATGGATATCCTAAATACCTTGACTTGATCATTATACATTCTATATATGTATCAAAATATTACACATATACACTATAAATATGTACAAATATGTATAAATACAAAAATTTAAAAATATTCATTCTAATTGATTCTGGCAGGAGTCATCAATGGATACAAAAACTAGTGTGATAATGTTTGAGGAGTAACCGGATAGTTATGTAATCTCAAAATATCTTTCCATAAAGCATTTATTAATTATAATGGGTAAAACAATGTTAAAGTGGAGAAACATGACAAGCATCAACTTAGCCAAATGGTCAAGGTTAACATCACCAATAATAGGACAAATTAACAGCAAATGCCTTCTAAGATGGTGCACCAAGAAGAACATAGCATCATTTGTCTGGTAATCCTGCCAAAAGTATATAACTTGAATCTAATCAGGAGGAAACATCAGACAAACTCCAATGTGAAGGACAGCATGCAAAATAATTGTCCCATACTCTTAAAAACATCAGCTTCAGTGGGCACTGTGACTCATGCCTGTAATCCCAGCAATTTGGGAGGCCAAGATGGGAGGACCACTTGAGCTCAGGAGTTTGAGACCAGCTTGAGCAACATAGCAAGACATTGTCTCTACAAAAAATTTTTTAAAAAATTAGCCAGGCATGGTGGCACCTGCCTGTGGTTCCAGCTACTCGGCAACACAGTGAGATTCTGTCAAAAAAAAAAAAAAAAAAGAGGCTGGGCGTGGTGGGATCACGAGGTCAAGAGATGGAGACCATCCTGGCCAACATGGTGAAACCCTGTCTCTACTAAAAATACAAAAATTAGCTGGGTGTGGTGGCGCACACCTTAGTCCCAGCTACTCGGGAGGCCAAGGCAGGAGAATCGCTTGAACCCTAGAGGCAGAGGTTGCAATGAGCTGAGATCATACCACTGCACTCCAGCCTGGCAACAGAGCGAGGCTCCATCTAAAAAAAAAAAAAAGTCAGCTTCATGAAATACCCGAAAGACTTTCTATAAAGAAAGCCTCAGGAATTCCATAATATAGGCAAGTAAAGAGATAAGGGCTGTATATTAAGTAATAGTATTATATCAGAGTTAATTTCCTAATTTTTATAATTATGCTGTGATGTAAGAAAATGTCCTTGGTTTTAGGAACTACACACTAAAGTGTATAGCAGGAAAAGACATTATATCTACAACTTATCCTTTTAAAAATAAATTTTATGGTGTATATTTGAGAGTTACAACATGTTATGGTATACATACAGACAGTAAAATAGTTACTATAGTGAAGCTGATTAACATATCTATTATCTCGCATAGTTTCTATTTTCGTGGTAAGAGCAGCTAAGATCTACTTCATTAAAAATTTCTAATGCAATATAATTTTATTGACTTTAGTCCTCATGTTGTACATTAGATCTCTAAACTTGTTCATCCTACATACTTTCTATTTGGTATCCTCTGACCTACATCTCCCCATTTCTTCCCCACTCTGCCTCCCCTGCCATGGTAACCACTGTTTTATTCTCTAGCTGTGTGTATTTGAAGTCTTTTTTTTTTTTTAATTCCACATGTAAGTGAGGTCATGCAATATTTTTCTTTCTCTGTCTGGCTTATTAACATAATGTTCTTCAGGTTGTTCCAGGTTGTGGAAAATGGCAGGCTTTCCTTTTATATGAGGCCAAACAATATTCCAGTGTGTATATATATATACACACATACACACCCATTTTCTTTAGCCATTCATCTCTCAACGGACACTTAGATTGTTTTCATATCTTGACCATTGTGACTAATGCTGCAGTAAACATTGGAATGCAGATATCTTTATGAGGTGGTGATTTTGTCTTCTTTGGGTATATACAGAGAAGAGAATTTGCTGGGTCATATGGTAGTTCTATTTTTAATTTCTTTAGAAACCTCGCACTGGTTTTTATAATGGCTATGCCAATCTTCATTCCACCAACTGTGTGCCAGGGTTCCTTTTCTTCCACACATTTGCCAATACTTACTATCTCTTGTCTTTTTGATAACAGCCATCTTTATAGGTGTGAGATGATAACACACAGTGGTTTTAATGTGCATTTCCCTTATTGTTAGTGAGGTTGAGCATCTTTTTATATATACCTCTTGGCCATTTTTATGTCTTCTTTGGAAAAATGTTTGTCTTCAACTTACTTTTAAATGGTTAAGAAAATGTATTTGCGTGGTGTGTGTGCGTGTGTGTGTGTGGAGAGAGAGGAGGAGGAGGAAAAGAGGAAATAAAAATTAACATTTGGGGAATCTGGGTAAAGATTATTCTGAAATTCTTTGTACAGTTCTTGAAACTTCTATAAGTATTAAATTATGTTAAATGAGAAAAAAAGCACTTAGTCTTAAGTGTACCCACTGTCATACTGAACACTGAGAGTTCTTATACCTCAATTTATACTCTACTATCAGTTATCTTTAGCTACTGGGGTAAATTTTCTCAATAGACTTTTTTTGATGTGCCCCATTTGCTTCTTTATTTGAGTCTTTGTGCTCTCTTGTTTTGTTTATTACTTCCCTAGGGCAGATGATGCTGAGTTTCAAACATATGGCCATTTTTATTTTCTGCCAATCACCTACAAAAAAAATGCTAAGAAAGACCAGTCATTGTGATAAACTAAAATAAGATATGGAAAATGTGGAAAAGAATGAGTCATGTATTTTGGGAGTCAGCAGCTTTGGTTGGCCACTGATTCAATTCACGACCTTGGAAAAAACCATGTCATTGCTTTATGCCCTATTCTCCTCATAATCTTTTCCCCAGAGCTTATATTACAGAGTGTTGACAGGATTAACTTATGATTGTGCATCTCTTTGAATCTCCATGATTTAGGTATTAAAGAAGTTGCCACAAATAAATATCCCTAAAAATAGTGTGCTTATGCAAATCCTCTTCTTGATATTTTGGTGGTTGTTTTAGAACTGTAAATGCTTTTCAGAAAACTCACAGTATTTCTGTGAGTTTTCTGAACTCACATTGGCTTGTGGTATACTTTTTCCCTGTGGATATTGTATTATTGAGTATTATTAAAGACAATAGAAAATCATACAAGAGATTTATTAAATCTCCATTATGTTTCCTGTTTTGCGTTTTCATTTCTAGACTGGAAGTGCCTAAATTATGATTTTTTTCTTCCAGGTTTTTACCTTCTGCGTCAAGCATACTATTTTTGCCTTCCTGGTGTCTATTCACTCTTTTTCTGGCATCAGCATGCTGAGTTTCTTTCAGGGAAATATGCCTCCCCCAACTTAGTTTATCTGATTTAATTGGGACTGACCCAGGGAGATGGGGTCCGTGAAGCAGATCCGACCAATCAAAGCAGCACATGTCCTATCCACAGGAACGAAATATGATACCAAGGACCATGAGTCCCACGCATAACTCTTACCAAAATTATTGAGAAACGGGTGATCTCTTTCCACTGGGATTGCTAAACTGGGAAAATGGAAGTCTGGTCTTTCTAGCAGCTATCTCACTAACCTGAGGAAAGAATATGTCTAAGCCTGTTTCCAACCGAGTTGAAAGCAGAGCTGAGAAATAAAAGGAAGAAGTTTCCTTTTATTTAACGATTATTTAAGCACCTAGATTGGGTATGCCTGTATAGAGATACCTGAGGTTTGCTAATGTGGGTCAATATATTTCCTTTCCTTTCTTCTGCCCTCCTTCCTCCTCCTCTGTCTCCTTCTCTTTCTCCTTTTTCTTCTCCCTCTTCTTCCTCTTTTTGCTTAAGTTTGTTGATAGAGCTCTGACTAAATCATTTGGTGCATGTGGTAGAGATAGCTAGTTGCTTATTCAATATCCATTTTCCCCTTTATTCTCAGCAACGTAACTTCAGTTTTATTCAAGATGTCAATGGCCCCCACTTTAAAAATGCACTTCACAGCCTCTTTCATAGATAGGCATGACCATGTAACTACATACAGGCCAAAAAGATATAGGCAGAAGTTATAGCATGGGATTTATTAGAAGGCTCTTATTAACAGAAGCTCAGATGAGTTCATTTGTTCCTTGTCCTTCTGCTTATTCCTGCCTGGAATGGACATATGATGGTTGTGTCAGGGGACCAGCTGGAAACCTCTGTGGCTGGCAGTGCCTTCTGCCTGAGTATTACTTGCTCCCACTGGGCTCATTCCACCCACTCGGCCTGGCAGGCTGCACTCAGCTCGCGCTACCGGCCCGGATCCCACACCTGCTAAATGTGAGCCAGGCACAGAGTAGCAAGGGGTGTGTGTGCGAACAAGTGCGGGGTCCAGCCGCTGTGCACACCCAGGCACACTGGCTGCTGCAGTGGGGCAGGCAGCTCCAGGCACTGGCATAGGTGCCGGCTGTGTGCAAGGCTGTGGCTAGATGAGATGTACTGCACGTGGCTTCTGCTGCAGGCACCTACATCTGGCCAAGGGGAACACAGTGCCACCTGGAAGCTTGGAGACGCCAGGAACCACAGAAACCCAAAGAGGGGGTGGGGTCATAGCCCTGGCTCGGGGAGCCCCTAGGTCTGGGATCCCCAAAGGGCCACAGCTCTTTTCTTCTTCTCTCTTCTTTCCTCATTGCCCGTAACATGGCGAGTGCAGGGGCATGTTTCAGCTCTGTTTGTGTTATAGCTCTTTTAATCCCGCCATTAGCGGGTCCAGAGTTTTTGTCCCACCTCCAGGAAGAATTAAGTATGCAGATTCTGGAGGGTGAGCAAGGCAAAGAGGTGCTTTATTGAGTGCCAGAAAAGCTCAGAGGAGACCTTCAGTGGGTAGCTCCTCTGCGCAAGCAGGTTGTCCGGTCATCTGCCAAGTCGGGTGGAGTCCGAGGTTTTTACGAGCTTCAGAGGGGAGAAAGTGCATGCTGATTGGTCCATAGGCAGCCATGGGTGGGCCCAGAAAATGTACCATATATTCTCACTCCAGTCCACAGAACTGTCAGCCAAGCCCCCAGGCTTCAGGCCATCCCTGGCTTGAAGGTGGGGCTTCACTGGGAACCCGCCCCGTTTCTCCCAGGAGCCTGTCTGCTTCCTGCTGCCATCAACCTGCCATCCCTGAACAGCAGAGGCTGTTCATGCCTACGGGTGCCTACAGGCCCATGCAGAGCTGCCCTTAACCCTCCTTGGCCTCCCTCCCATGCTTGTCGGAGCCCAAAGTCCAGAGGGGGCCCAAGTGGCAGGTGGCTGGTGTCAGCACTGCCCAGAGCATGCTCACACCCAGCCAGGTCAAGACAGTGTCTGGGCTAGGCCACAGCCTTGCTCCAAAATTGGAGCAGGGGCCAGGAGTCTGGAGAGGCCAGGCAGTGGGAGCAGGCACTTCCGAGCCTGTGGGGGCACAGGAACTTCCTGGCCCCCGAGAGTGCAGAGATGCCCAGGTCCACAGCTGCTGCTGTGCAGCCACAGCTGCACCGGGGAGCATGAGGCTCCCTCACTCTGCCAACTCAGAAGGGCTTCTGCCTGTTGCCAGCTCTTGTCCGCTCTGTGGAGCATGCAGCCCTGGCTGAGCCTCCCCTGCTGCGGCCAGCATCATGGCAGTGGCCCCTCCAGATGGGCCACCACTGTCATCAGTTGCAATTCCAGTGGCCATCTTATAACCTTGAGGATGAAAGACATGTATTAAGAAAGGCCTAGGCCTAGATTCCTGTTGTCTTTGTGGAACTCCTTATCAGTGTGGATCACCCATTTCTGAACATTTTTTCTGTAAAATAATATACTCTTAGACATTTAAGTCATTGTAGTTAGGTCTCTATTTCTAGGAGCTGACAACATTTCTAGATAATATGATACATCTCTGCAATCAGACATCAATGGTCCTTCCTGAAATACTTTGGTTTATTTCGTGTGGATGTAATATAAGGAGAAATTATATAAGAATATCTTTGCTTAAAATGATAGATATTTCTCTTTATTTTTCCTCATTTATGAATTTTAGGTGAGAAGCAATCAATAATGCTGGCCACTACTACCTCAACTTTTTAATCTCATCTTTTCCATACTATGACAAACAATTTAGATAGGTCAATGTGTGGCAGTTTAGAATCACAAAGCTTTGCCAATATGAGCTTGTAGAGATCCTCAACTTTTTACCTTCTGTTTATGTTTACTATTACTGTCCCATTTTAGGCCATCATCATTTAGTCAGTTACTTGGGGCTTCCTGTATCTAAATCTTTTTCACTAAGCCCAATTATCTGTACTGACATCTAATAACCATTCAACATACATTCTGATTTTTAAAATTACTTTAAAAACAACTACCTAAATGAACTGGAGAGTAACTAAAATCAGGCAGAAGTTGGATATAACACTTAAAGGAAAAAAAGTGGCAACAGATGAGATACAACACTAGAAAGAAATTAGCTATCAAGTCATCAAAAGACATAGAGAAACCTTAAATGCATATTACTAAGTGAGAAAAGCCAATCTGAAAAGGCTACACATACTGTATGATTCCAAATATATGACACTCTGGGAATGACAAAATTAAAGACACCAAAAAAGATCAATGGTTGCCAAAAGTTGTGGAGAGGGAGGGATGAATTGACAGAACACAGAGGATTTTTAGGGCAGTGAAACTATTCTGTATGATACTACAATGCTGAATAAATGTCATTATATATTTGTCAAAATCCATAGAATGTACAACACCAAGAGTGAGTTCTAGTGTAAACTATGCATTTTGGGTGATAACAATGTGTCGGTGTAAGCTCAATTGTAACAAATGTTCTAATGTGGTGTGAAATGTCCATAGTTGGGGAGATTATGTGTGTGGGGACAGGAGTATATGGGAAGTCTCTCAACTTTCTGATCAATTCTGCTGTGAACCTAAAACTGCTCTAATAAATAAAGTTTATTAATTTAAAAATTTTATAATCTTCCAAGAAATATGATAGAATCCAAAGTCTCTACAATATGATTTTTACAAGAACACTTAGAAAATTACTACATATGGGCCATACTTACAAGAAAAGACAATCAATGAAGACTAACCTCATGATGTTGGGATTAGCAGAGGATTTTAAAGCAGCTGTTATGCTGTGCTCAAGGATGTGAGAGAAAATATGCTCATAATGATTGAACAAATAGGAAATATCAGAGAAAAAACTAAAAAAAAATATTTGATATTTAAAAAATACTGTGTGGGCTTAACAGCAGTTTAAAGATGATGAAAGTCACTCAACTTGAGGATACAGCAATCAAAATTATCTACTCGGAGAAACAGAGAGAAAGAAAGCTGTAAATTAAACTGAAAAAAAAAAAACCCTCAGGGTACTGTGAGACAATTGAAAAAAATCTAATATATGTAAATTAGATTTCTAGAAAGAGAAGCAAGTGGGAATGAACCTGAAAAAATATTTGACTTAATAATTTGTTAAAAAACATAAATGTACAAAATCAAGAACTCAGACAACCTCAACTAGAAAAATATGAAGAAAATAATATCATAATCAAATTGCTGCAAATCAAAGAGAAAAAGAAAATCTTGAATGTGGCCAGAGTAAAATGACACATCACATATAGGAGAATCATGATATGAGTGACTGCCAACTTTTCTTCAGAAACAGTGGAGACCAAAAAGACAGTGGCACAACACTTTTGAAAGGCTGGAAGAAAAGTACTATAAAGCTTATATCCATGGAAAAGATCCTTCAAAAATAAGAAATACACATATTTTCAAATAAATATAAACTAAACCTTACACCAAAGAAATAAAAATGTATATGTATAAATAGATATGTACAAGAATGCTTGTAGCAGCTTTATTCTTAATTCTTAAAGCAAAACAGTATCTACAAGAGCATGGATAAAATGTTGGTATATTCATGCAATGGAAACTACTCAAAAATAAAAATGAATGCAATACAGATATATACAACATGGATGAATCTCTAAAACAATGCTGAGTGAAAGAAAGCTTATGCAAAACAGTACATACTGTATGATTCTATTTACAGATTCTATTTTAGAACAGTGGTTGTCTATGGGTGGAGGGGTGGGCATTCACTGTGAAGGGAACATGAGGCAACTTTTGTGGTGATGGTATTTTTTTGTATTTTCTGTCTCAGGTTAGTCATTTGTTCAAACTCATGGAATAGTACACTTAAGAAATGTGCATGTCACTATATGTAAATTTTATCAAGACATAATATAAACAAATAAGGAACTCATGTTAATGACAACAAAACTATAATCATAACACTTCTACATATCATAGTGCCTTATTCACTCTTTTGTCACACTTATTAAGTGTAATGTGCTCAGCTAAACATTCCATTACCATGGAAGGATGGTATTTTATCGAGGGTAAAGTGGATATTGGATACATTGCATTTGTGTCACAGAGAGTAAGTTGGTGGATAGATTTCTAATTATGGATTCAATCTTTTAGTCAGTTCTAGTTCTATTCAGAATTCTAATTTTTCCTTATTTTTTCTAGGAAATTGTCCTTTTCACCTAAATTTTTGAATATCTTGGCATGAGGTAAGATTCTTTTTATGCTGTTTTAAATGTCTATTGTATTTATAGCAAGGTAATTTTTTAAACTAGGAGGTGATCCTGGTTGGATCACATTCTCTCTGTTGGAATTCCATTGTGTCCTGATTTTGAAGTGTTGGAAGTATCCAGGCCAGATATATCACCAACCTAGTTTTAGTCCAGTTTTTTGGAATGAGTTTTCATAACACACATACACAGATAATATAAATAAAGACTAAAAACCTACATAAGTAAAGGCTTGAGGTTTCGATTTATGAGATATTCCCTCCTTTCTACCATGGCTGCCAGAAGCCTCAGCTCATGCCCTTATGACTCTGATTTGAATTTTCTTTTTCATTTCTGTTACTAGTGGGATAGTACTTTGTTGCAAGCTTAACTAGGATTTTAAAACAATTTTCCCATCAATTCTGAGAACAAAAATGTCTAGCATTAATGGTTATAGAAATAAAAATGAAAATAAGTAAATCAAGCATTTTACTCAAAGGATTGACAAGGAATTACAAAATAAGCAAAGGAAAGCAGAAGAAAGGAATTAACACAGATAAAAACAAAAATTGGTGAGTTAGAAAGCTAAAAGAAAAAGTAGAGCCGAAGAATACAATTATAGAATAATTTGAAAAATCGGTTAAGTAAACTAGCTAAGATAATCAAGAAAAAAAGAATATAAAATAAAGAGGAAAATAAGTAAGAAACAGAAGAACTTAGAATCATGAGACTAGTTTGCTTAAAACTACACCAAAATGTTAGAACACCCGAAAAAAAAAGTATAATTTTCTAGGAAAGTTGCTTATGAAAGCTGAACTCTGAAGACAGAAAACTTTTAAAGAGATCAACTACCATAGGAGAATAGAGGAAGTAAAGACCTAACTCTTCAAAAGGCCCAGATCCAGACAGCTCTAGGGGAATTTAACTAAACTTTTTAAGATCATATAATTCCAGTGCTGTTTTAAAATGTTCCAGAGCAAGAAAAAAAAAAACTACTGAGTTCATTTTTATAAAGTGAGTAAATACTGATTCACTATCTGAAAAAAAATGCACAGAAACCTGTATAGTTATCTATATGAATATCGGTACAAAATATTAAACAAATGATATAAAAAAGAACCCAGCATGGCAATAAAAAAAAAACTATCGCCATTTGGGATTTATTCCAATAATGCAAGAAAGCTTCAATATTAGAGTTGTCAACCTAAATAACATAGAGAGAGGCTCTCCTTAAAAAAATGCTATTTATTCGAGAATGGATATTGCAATGGGAATACATGTGCCACAGTAAACTATGTGCGTATTCAAGGAGTTAAAAAAAGAAAAAGGTTTTTTATTAAAGGAAAAATGAGGAGGATTAAATAATTGTTTTGAGATAATTATCCTTGGCTACAAGGATCGATAACAAGAGTGACACCAGTCTGAGATTGGACAGGCAGCTGCTGGGCAGACAACCTCACAGAAGTATTTTTTTGTGTGTAAGATTGCAATGCCCTTTGTGCAAGGTTGTGGTTTTTGCAGTCTTTTGTGATAGTTCTTGTTGTCAGGCATTCATGCATGACAACTCTCCCTTCATGGCCTTCCCTGACTCCATTTGTCAGGGTTTTAACACAAATAACTCCCATTTTGATTCTGACAACTTTCACAGATCTTTATTAGTACATATAATATTAATACATATACAATGAAAAATCATATAATCCTGAATCATATAATGACTTCCACAGATGGTGAACAGGCATTTGACAAAATTCAACAACTACTTATTATTTAAAAAATTTTAATGAAATATAAATCCATTGATATTTCCTTAAAATGAAAATTATACTTATCCCTGACCAAAAGTTAGCATCATAATTATGATCAAACTTTACAATCATTTCTCATTAAAGCCAGGGACAAGACAAGTCTGCCAACTCTCATCGCTATAATTATTATTGTACTCTAGCTACTGAAAAAATAAATAATACAAGAGAAATAAATTTGAGGTACAAAATTGGAAAGAATTTAAAACTATGACTATTAGTATTACTATTAGTACATAGAAAATCCAAGATAAGAATAGAAAAATTCAGTAGGGTAGTGAGGTAGAAAATAAAGAGCTTTCTTATATACATATTACAATATAATATGTAATTTTAAAAATCCAATTTATAATAGCAACAAAAAAGATAAAACTAAAAAGAATGCAATATATGTATATAAACAACTGTAAATTGCCTCTGAAAGACATTTAAAAATCGAAAAGAATTAGTATTTTATATATATATACACTTTTACAAATTTTATTTAAAATACTAATAAAAAGCAAGTAACAAATATCAACTTTGTTTTCAGTACACAGTGTGATCCTAAAACTTATATGGAAAAATAAACAGCCAAATAGCCAGGAAAGCTCTGAAAAGGAAGAGCAATGAAGAAGGCCCAGAATTACAGAGCAATAAAACAAATTATATAAGCACCAATGATTACAGTAAAAACTACAGAAATAGAATCAGAAGCATAAGAAAACTTACTATTTGACATAGGTGGTACTGGAACATTTTGGTAACCATTTGGAAAAACAGAATTGGATCCTTAACTCACACTGTACTTTATTTGTGAATAAAGTCCAAATCTAAATATTTCAATGAAAATTTAATAAAACAAGAAAATACTAGAAGAAAACATGGGAGAGTTCTTTATAATATGGGGGTGGGGATGGCTTTTCTATGACCCCAAATCTAAAAGGCATTAAACAAAATTGATAAATTTGGCTACGTATATATGAAAACTTCTGCATGTCAAATAAAAAACATAAGACAAATGACTTAACAAAGTGGCAACACATATCACAAAGGGCTAATCTCCCTACTCAATAAAGGCCTTCTACAAATTAACAAGGAAAGGATCCCAAAAGTGAGCAGAAACTATGAGCAGAAAGTTAACAGAAAGGAAATACAAATGGCTTTGACATATTCAAAAGATGTTCAACTCACTCATAATAAGAATAGTACATTATACTTAGAGGACACATTTTTCATCTATCAGACTGGCAAACATCAAAAGTTAGATAAGACTCAGTTGGCAATATCGTGAGGAAATAGACATATTGCTCCTGAGGGAGTATAAGTAGCTATAATTTTCATAGTAAGTAATTTGGCAATATCCATCATTATTACAAATGCTTATGTCCTTTTACCTAGCAATCCCACTTTTGGGACTTTATCCTTCAGACACATAGACTTCACATGTAGAAAATGGCAAATATATACAAGTTCATTATTGGAGAATTTTCTGTAATTGAAAATGGAAACAACTAAAAAAATTTATTAAGTGGGAATAGATCAATTATTATATATTCTTACAATCTGTCTGCTATACACTACACATGCCTAAAAAAAAGGAGTAAGGTCTCTACTATAGACTTACGCGAATGTTTCCAATATATATTAGTAAAAAGAGCAGGATACAGAATAGTGTATATGATATGCTGTTTTTGCATAAGAAAAATTCGATTAGAATAAGATTTTATGTTCATATATGTCTGTATATTCATAAAGAAATTCTGAAAGGATACATAAGAAACCAATAATGGGCCGGATGTGGTGGCTCACGCCTGTAATCCCAGCACTTTGGGAGGCCAAGGCGGGTGGATCACTTGAGGTCAGGAGTTTGAGACCAGCCTGGCTAACATGGTGAAACCCCATTTCTACTAAAAATACAAAAAATTAGCTGGGCATGGTGATGCACACCTGTTATCCCAGCTACTCGGGAGGCTGAGGCAGGAGAATCACTTGAACCAGGAGATGGAGGCTGCAGTAAGCCTAAATTGCACCATTACACTCCAGCTTGAGCAACAAGAGCAAAACTCTGTCTCAAAAAATAAAAAAAGAAAAAAAAAAAGAAGAAGAAACTAATAATGGCATTTATCTGTGTCTTTGGAAGGGCTGAGAATTGAGTGAATGGGAATGTATTTAAATTATGTGTTTAATTTCATGTGTAAGAATTAAATTTGAAGTGTGTCATATTTGTCATTTTTTATCTGTTACGTTTTATGCTTGTAGCTGGAAGGTTTCCATTTTAGTTTACCCCAGAAATCTCTGTTACAAACATTTCTTTTTTTTAGTAAAGGCTATTAGAAAAATAAATTGAATAGCTGAGTGCAGATGAGTGCAGTGGCTCACACATGTAACCCCAACTCAGGAGACTGAGGTGGGAGGATTGTTTGAAGCCAGGAGTTTGAGACTAGTCTGGGCAACATAGCAAGACCCTGTCTCTACAAAAAAATTTTAAAATTAGCCAGGCATAGTGGAATGCATCTGTAGTCCTAGCTGCTTAGAAAGCTAAGGCAGGAGGATTGCTTTACCCCAGGAGTTTGAGGTTGCAGTGAGCTATGATCACATCACTGCACTCCAGCCTGGGTGACAGAGCGACACTCTTGTCTCTAAAAAAATTATAATAAAAGAAAAAGAAAAAAAAAACCTTGAAATTATGTAGTTTTAATTGACATTTTTACATAAAATATCATTAATATCTTTTTATTTAGAATTGATTTATTATTTCAACCTAAAGTATGACTTTTTTGTTTACTAATACATTTTTATTATTTAAATAACAACTACATTATTTTTCAGAATCCAGTAGCTTTTTTTTTTTTTTCCTTTTTCTTGGTTCTCATTGGTTATAACACAGTAGCTTTTAAAAGCAAATTTTCTTCAGTAAGTTGAAAACAATAAAAAAGTATGAGCTCCCTCTGCTGGCTCTGAAGTGGCATATCAAGGTACATTTTGTTTATTTGGAAACAAACTGGCACACGGTACATGCCATTAATGCAATTTGCTAATATTAGGGAGAATAATTTTAAACTGTTTTCCATAATTTTATAAAAGTTAAATTATGCTAATGTGCCACTAATATTGGCAAGTAAGATTAGCATTTCAATATAAGTGTTAAAGTTGTATTCACTATGTACCTGAGCTATTTGGTATATCCCTATATAGTGCCATATAAGTGTGTTGAACAGGAAAAGTTTCTGCATGCACCACAACAGGTACAGGAGGATTTGTTTTAAAATTTATTATGACTTTTGAATTGCAGTAATCATAAAACCTATGCTGTGTTAGCAGATTAATATTTAGTTCATTAAAAATACCACAGTTTTTGTTGTTGCTGTTGTTGTTGTTTTGAGACAGAGCCCAAGTAGAGTGCAGAATCACCTGGGTTCAGACGATTCTCGTGCCTCAGCCTCCGGAGCAGCTGGGATTACAGGTATGCTCCACGACACCCAGCTAATTATTTTGTATTTTTTAGTAGAGACGGAGTTTCACCATGTTGGCCAGGCTGGTCTCAAACTCCTGGCCTCAAATGATCTGCCCACCTTGACCTTCCAAAGTGTTGGGATTACAGGCATGAGCTACCGCGCCTGGCCCATATGCATAGTTTGAAGCTAGGAGAAATAGAAAATATTTGCATAGTAAGCAGTGACATATCATTCTGAGTATAAATTTTTTTGTCATGACACATAATCTCTGATGCATTGATTTATGATGTACTTTGCAAAATTTCAAGATACT
Organism: Homo sapiens; assembly: GCF_000001405.40. NCBI lineage: Eukaryota > Metazoa > Chordata > Mammalia > Primates > Hominidae > Homo > Homo sapiens. The sequence goes on along the minus strand of NC_000013.11, from coordinate 79,423,424 downwards.
TTTATTTTTATGATTTGTTTTTATCTTCCAGATCATTGATCTGTGTCTCAGTGGTAATCATCTCATCTTTCTATTTATCTACTAAATTCTTTAACTTTTTGTGTTGTACTTAAATATGCTTAAGGATGCCTTTAAAAAAATTCAAATTTTCATCTCTCTTTTACAAGTTCGACTTTCCCCTTGTTTCTTCTGACTGATATTCCTCTCTCAAATTGCTGTCTCTTATATAAGATGTTATTTTTCTTGGTTGGCTCATAAGCTCAATTCTGATTGTTGAAATACTGGGAATTCCACATGTGGTGGAAAGCAAAGGTGTTTCTAGTCAGGGGTGCACTGAAGCCAGTTGTCACTAGCCTATGAGAGCTGATTATTAATTTTTCAAGAATTCTTCAAGCTAGTTGTTAAAGACAGATTTTATTAAAGCTGACATATAAACTTACATTAAAAACCAACACAATTTTCAAAATCATTTCCGAATTATTTAACTTCATTTTATTATTATTTATGCTCCTCAGGTAATTTACATCGACTGCATCTGTATGGTGAAAATATAGTATAATGGGGTGCTGCTGTGAATCTCCTTCCAATTCTGCATTCTGTGATATCATAGTGGTAACCTGAAATCCACCATAGTGGGGACATTTACACAATAACTGGCAAATGCTACAAGGCTGGGCTTTTTCAGTTTTGTTGATTGTCTGGACATAAAAAGGTAATACAGAAAATGTTACCAATACAAGCATTTGGGAAAAATAAACTAAAACCTTTTGTGAAAAACAACAGGTTTTATGGAATTTACAATAAATAATACTGTATATTTTATTATTTATAAATTCTGTGCTACACATTCTTCATATCAGTAAAACTTAGAACATATATATGTATCCATACATTTTGTTTTCTAGAAAGCCACTGGTTGAACATTAACCAGCACACTACTGGAGTCTCTACCCACAAAGGTAGTATAGGTGGGCAAGGAGTCAATTCTCTGTGAGACTCCTGGGGGAGTCACTGACTTAGTACATCAAGAGTAGTGCTGTGATTTTAAAATATGTCCACAAATTCTTTGATACATCTCCTATCTAAAGACAGGCCCTGATTTTCCTCCCCATGAATGTGAGCTGTACCTAACGACTAATGAATGTGGTGGAAGTAACCGTGTTAGACTTCTAAGGCTAATTCATAAAAGACAGTGTGGGCTCTGTCTTACCCTCTTTTGGACTGCTTACTTTGGGGAAAGCCAGTGGCCATGCCATGAGGACACTCGAACATCTATGAAGAGGTCCCACATGGTGTGGATAAGGACTCCTGCAACGGCCATTTTGGACCTAGATTCTCCTGCCCCAGACAGGGCTTCAAATGACTGGGGTCCCAGCAGACATCTTGACTGCAACTTCACAGGAGACTCTGGAGCCAGAACCTCTCAGCTAAGCAGCTCCTGCAATCATAACACACAGAAACTGTGATGTAATGAACGTTTGTTGCTTTAAGTAAGCCCCTAAGGTTTGGAGTAATTCATTAGATGGCAACAGATAACTAATATAAGCAGGGAAGACTCATTATCCCCATTAAACTTCTTGGACTTTTGGGAGTCAATGAAATCTAAGACTCTCTCATATGGTGCTATACCAACTTTGTTGAAGGGAGGGTGTCTTCCCAGAGATCTGTGAAAACCAAACTATTCAGGATTAAGAAGTTCAGAAGCCACCAATACCACTGTTCTTCATTTGTTTGCTTAGTCCACGGGGGAGCAAGTCGTGAACCTACTTCCCATAGCAGAGTCCCCAACACAGGTCAAGGTCCCACCTTCTCCTACCTTCCTATAGGCCTTGGCAAGGATTTGGCTCAAGGGAGGCAAATGTCTTAGAGATGGAAGAGAGGGAAAGGGAGTTATGGCTAAGTTGCCATTTTTCAAGAATCTTCTGTATTTTATATACACACACACACACACACACACACGAGACAGTAATCTTATATTATTGCCAAAAAAAAAAAAACAAAGTCACTAAAATTAGGTGAAAATGTTTTAAAGACATCCATTATTTGAGAAAATGAAAGAACAACAAATCTCATGTAATAATTTCTTTCCTTTTCGGTTTAAGTATTTTTCATGAAAAAGCACAAACAAAGGCCAACATTTCTCGTATTCATGCCTTTGGGCCATCTATAAACCTTTTAAAACTTTCTCCTAACTTTAAATTAATGGCAAAATATACTTAAAAAAGGAGGAGGACCAACAGCCTTGTGCATTTTGGTCTCATACCTATCAAATCATAATTACCAAAATGTCCAAGGCCGTTTGTATCTATTATTTGTATCCTTTATTAGAGACATTCCATTTTAAATTTTTTGTTGATATATTCATATATTTGTAGTCCAAATATTGAGGAAATGAACTAATGCATAAATAATAATGTGATTTAATATCGCTATTTTGTGGTTAGCTTTTTTATTTTAGCATTTTATTTCAGTCTACTTTTAATTAAATAGCTATTGCACTGTCAATTAACAAAGCCTGAATTAAATAGCTATCACATTCTGTCAATTAACAAAGCCTGAATTGAATCCGGCCCTGGATCTTACAGCAGGTAACTTGTGTCTTCTATTACCTTTCCAGCTGACTTTGGAAAAGTCCTTGCACACGTCCAGACCCCAATTTTGTCATCTGTAAATATGAAGATACTGAATTAGGTTATTCTTAAATTCCTATTCAGTTTCTATACTTTTAAACAGTTATTGAATAAAATACTAATCGTATAAAAAATCATATTTTTTTGTATAAAAGGATACAAAAAAATAAAAACTGAATTCTTATCTGAAACAGATTAAAACTTACTTGGCAAAAAAAATTCATATAAAGAAGTAGCTGGTCAGTTAAGTATTAGAAGAGGTCACAAGAAGGAGAAGGGAGTAGAGGCTGTAGGGGTTAGGGAAACTCAAGAGGAAATAGAACACGGTGTGAATCTAAAGAATCTGAAATTGATGGAAAAACCCTTATAAGATCTTATAAGACCTTACAAGATCATTACAAGACCTTACAAGACCTTATAAGACCTTATAAGATCATTATTGTTTTTCAGCCTCCAGAAAGTCTTATATAATGATAATTTGCACTAGGTTTGTTTTGATGTTTTGTGTACTTGTATGTTTGTTTGTGATTTGAATTTGTCTTTCAAACATACAGCTCTCCATCTCATAAATTAATATCTACCTTCTGGAAAATTACATGCAAAAAGTTATTAGTTTATTGAAGAAAAAGAATTAGAATCTAGTTCTTGTTAAAGTATTATCTTTATTAGAGTCACAACTTTTAGCATGCCAAGTGATCTCCCAACTTCTATTTGTAATAAATCCCTCTTCCTTACTCAGTGATAGGCATACACTTAAGCAAAGTCAATTAGATTCTCTATTTTGATAATTTGTATCTCAACACCCAGGGTGGGTGATTGTTACTGAGTAAGCTGAATGCAGGAGCATTCTATAGAAAAAGTCCATGACTGAACAAGTTTTGGCAGCTCTGATTCCTAGAGATTTTATGGTTGCTGGTGCCTTGGAAGCCTATTCAGCATTTCCTTTGATGCAATGAGTTACTTTAATTTCATTTTTAAAAAAAGAATTTCTTCTTATATAAGTAAATCGACTACGGATATTGGTTGAATGAATGGAACTACAAGCTATGTTATAAGAAAAATATATGTCAATAGAGGTCATGAGCCTCAGTGTGTGTTAGGCATTGTATCAATGTTCACTACCCCAGGCTTAGCGGCTTAAAAACATTTATTACTTGTCACCATTCTGTGAGTTGCTGGGGAGTTCTTTTGGTTTGCACTAGCTGTGCAAGTTGGTTGGTTTAGGATGGTCTCACTCACATGCCTGGTGGTTGTCAGGCTGGATCTTACTGGGACCTCATCACATGGCAGCCTCAGCATTCAAGCACTTTTCAAGTTGTTTCTTGCATCACATTTATTTTTATCTCATCATATTTACCTTAATCTCACTAGCAAAGTAAATCACTTGGACAAATCCAGAATCAGTGTGGGAGGACACTACTCAAAGCCCTGAATATGGGAAGTGTGAACAAACTGTGAGAGAGGACATTACTGTAATACCAGGTGTTTGGAAATATGAGTAGAGATGGCTTTTAGCCTCCTCTACCTTTCTAGCTCCTTAAAATGCAAAACAAACAAAAACCCTGAGATGTAGATGGCGTTTAGCCTCCTCTACCTTTCTAGCTCCTTAAAATGCAAAACAAACAAAAACCCTGAGATGTAGATGGCGTTTAGCCTCCTCTACCTTTCTAGCTCCTTAAAATGCAAAACAAACAAAAACCCTGGGCCGGGCGCGGTGGCTCACGCCTGTAATCCCAGCACTTTGGGAGGCCGAGGCGGGCGGATCACGAGATCAGAAAATCGAGAGCATCCTGGCTAACACGGTGAAACCCCGTCTCTACTAAAAATACAAAAAATTAGCCGGTCGTGGTGGCGGGCGCCTATAGTCCCAGCTACTCAGGAGGCTGAGGCAGAATGGCGTGAACCGAGGAGGCGGAGCTTGCAGTGAGCCGAGATGGCGCCACTGCACTCCAGCCTGGGCGACAGAGCGAGACTCCGCCTCAGAAAAAAAAAAAAAAAACAACCCTGTTAATACTTTTTTAAAAACTAGTTCATTTTATCTTTTCCTCTTTCTATGGGAGATTTACAAATATCAAAGAAAGACCATTAAAAAAAAAACAGCCTTTCTTGTGGACTAATGTTTCACTTCATGGCACCTTGAGAGTCAGACAAGTGTCAATCAACATTTCAAAAATGGTAATTATAATGTAGGAAAAAAGTGATAAATGACTGTTGAAAAATGTATTATCTATTCTATGTTAGATTTGGGGAATAAAACAGTGGGTAAAAAAAGCTTTTGCCTTCAAGGAACCTAATCTTTTAACAATACAACGTGATGTAATTGTAACAGGGATAAACACTGTGAACACTCAGCCCAGTCAGGGAAGGTTTCCCGGAGAAAGCGACTTTTAAGGTAAGTGCTGGAGTTAGATGAAGGATAGGGTTGGGCATGGTAAATGTTCTAAACCGAAGGGGCTCTTTGTGCAAAGAGTACAATGACGGACACCATGGCTTGTTTGTAGAAATAGATTAAGGAATTTACAGGCTCTATGCACCAAAATATTATAGTGCTTTCCCACTTGAAATTCAAAATAAAAATAATGCTAACTATAAAACTACATGTAGGGAAGTCTTTCTGATTTTTCCAATGTTCTCATCATTTAAAAAATAATAAATACTCTAAAAATATATTCATGCCTCTGTGTTGATGATTTATTCAGCATATACCAGTTCATCTATTGCATAATGCAGTACTGTTCTGGGAACTGCAGATACATGGTATGGCACCATTGTAGAATGTAAAAAGTGGAGAATGGGAGAAGCTTAAGAACTAGGCAGGTGTCAATTAATGAAAGATGTAAGAAAGCATGTGGTTAAGGATGTGGTGTTGATTACTGACCTGAGTTCAACCTCTGCCATTGACTCATTCTATAAACTTGGGCAACTTGAAGCTTAATTTCCTCAGCTGTAAACTGGGAATGCTAAATTGTGAGAATAAATAAATGTAAAGCATTTAGAACAGTGCTTAATACCATAAAACACAGTTAATTTCAATTAAGTATTACAATTAATAAATTTGTACTTTAGCCTGGGATATGGGGAGCCAATAAGGGTTTACATGATTAGAGGGGGCTTTAATGGATTTCTTTGGCTGCAGTGTATCATCTGGGTTGAATGACAATGAGTAGATTCTAGGTATGCCTAGGAGGAAGACTCAATAGATATTCATTGGGATATTAATTGGATAGTGGTAAAAGGAGAAGGATGATACTTAGATTTTTGACTTGAGCAATTGGATGATGGTGGCTTTCTATGAGTTACATATCACAGGAAAGGGGCAAAATTGGTTAGTGAAGATAATGAGTTTAGTTTTAGAGACTGATTTGAGATGCCTAGAAGACATCCAAGTAATGACCTTTGGGAAACATCAGCATGGATATAGGAGTTGAAATAGTAAAAATAGATAAGATGGGTTGGGGATCATGTTTAGATTGAAAAAAGACCAACAGGAATTCCAAGGCACATCCATATGAAGTGTGGTTGAAGTTCAAGAAGGATACATTACAGTATTCAGAAAAATCAGGGGGAAAAACCCAAGAAGATTGTGATGCAATAAAAATAGCAGGGAAAAAAGTGTTTCAAGAAAAAAACATGTGAACAATGTTGTCAAATGTTATATTTGATCAAATAACACAAGACTAAATGTGGATACTACATTTGGTCAGTGTCAGCGAAAAGCAAGTCACTGATAACCTTGGCAAGAAGTGTTTTGGTAAAATGATAGAGACAGAAGCTAGTTCATACTGAACTGGAGTGATGGAAGAGAGGAACCTGGGACAATGAGTACAAACAACTCTTGCTTGCCTATAAAGAGAAAAGGAAAGAATGGTGGCTGAAAGCAGATCTTCAAATGATAGAGCTGAATAGTTGTTTTTTTAACAACTTTGAAAAGATCAACACCATTAACACTCTAGTTCAAACTTCCAACATCTCACATGGACCATTACAATATTCTCCTAATTGTTTCCTTCTTCTACCACTCCCCATTGTATCTTTCTTGGCTACCCCCACCTCAGCCCCATACATTCTCCACACAAATCTAATTATAGCCTTTCCTTACTCATGTAAGCCAGTTGTAGAAGGCTCTTCCTTCTTGAACTAGAATGGGTATACCTCTTAATATTCTCTAGTGAGAGAGATCAGAGAAGCTATGGGGCCTCACACTACTGATGAGTGTTCATCTCTATCCTGTAATTCATCTGCTGGTAAGTGTTTATTCTTACTTAATAATTCACAAAAGGAAGGGTGGTAGCCCCCACTTTGCTCTCAGTATTGGCTGGTCTCCCTGCAGGTACTCTTCCTTCCCTGGGCCCTACCACACCTGAGCTTCCCAAACTGAACAAACGCCAATGATGTTTTCAGCAGTAGTTTCATAGAAGCATTCTAAAACATACCAAAGCAGTACAGAGTAAGAGGACTAAGAGTTACTCTATTAATACACTGAGCTCTTTATTTCTTTCCTTTATTTCACATAAGGAGAGAAAAAAGTTCTTACATTTTAGGAAAGCACTGTCCAATAAAAATATGTGAGCTGCATATGTAATTTTAAGTTTTCTAGGGGCCACATTTTTAAATAAAAAATAATAATAATAAGGTGAGGGCCAGGCACAGTGGCTCATGCCTGTAATCCTAGCACTTTGAGAGGCCAAGGCGGGCAGATCACTTAAGGACAAGAGTTCAAAACTAGCCTGGCCAACATGGTGAAACCCTGTCTCTACTAAAAATACAAAAAAATTAGATAGGTGTGGTGGCAGGCACCTGTAATCCCAGCTACTCAGGAGGGTGAGACAGGAGAAATCACTTGAACCTGGGAGGCAGATGTTGCAGTGAGCAGAGATCACGCCACTGCACTCCAGCCTGGGCAACAGAGCGAGACTCCGTCTCAAAAAAAAGAAAAGTGAAATTAATTTTATTAATATACTTTATTTAGTATATTAATAGGCCAATATATCCAAATATTCTTTCAATGTGCAATTAATGTAAAAATTAAGATATTTTACTTTCTGGTTGTTGAGGAACAAGTGAAAAACATTGTTCACGTTTTTTCTAAGGCTTTGAAATCTGATGCACATTTTATACTTACTGCACACCACAATTCTAAATAGCCACAAGAACTTAACAGCTACACATTGCTAGTGGCTATGGTATGTGGCAGTGTAGTTTGTTCTACCCCTATGTTTACTATTCATTTGCTATGAAAACAGTTTGTGATGGATGCTGCTTCCACAGCCAGGAATTGGTCCAGCCCGATGCTGTTAAGGGAGTCAACTCTTTCTTCTGGGAAGGAAGGTCAAATCCTGTGTGAGCTTTGGCAGTTACATGAAATGCAGGCTTTGAGCTCATTCCTAAATTCTGGTTTACCTTGTATGGTAGATTATATTATAAACTCACTTATGTTTGCTGCTCCTCCTTGCTCCAGCCTATTTTGAATCAGGCTTGGTCACATGACTTGCTCTGGTCAATGAAATGTGGAAAGAAGTGATGTTGTCCACTTCTGTGAGCAGAAATTGTAGGAGACAATACACGGTTTGTCATAATCTCTTTTGTGTCCACCATTATGACTGACAACATCCCAAACACACAGAGGCTACTCCATCAGCCTGGGACCTGAAGGGAGGAACACGTGGAGTAGAGGTGCAGCTAACCTGTAATGGACATGCAGGGTTTGAGAGAAATGAACCCTTGTTGTTCATTACTGCAGCCAAACCTAGCCTCTTCCTAACTTATGCACTATTGTTTGTGGGTGATGTAGATTGTTTTTTCTCTTTGTTGTCTGGAGGAATGGGATAGTGCAGCTTTAAAACTTTAGAGTGTGTCTCCTAAGGGCATTCATTATGCCTGATGTTTGTTATTGCAATGTTATTGGTTGTTTTCCTGGCTTAGGTTCTGGCCCCCAATAAAAATGGCTTCAAATTTCAAAAGCCCTAATTAAGGTTCTACATCATTACCTTTTTAACAGTTTTGTCCTAAGGCTACTAAGGAACTAAGAACAATATGTAAAGGTGAATTTTCTTCAAAAGATTATCTGTGTCTTCCCACACTTCAATTAATAAGCAAATAAGATTTCTTTTCTGATTTTTTTCCCCCTGATTTTTGGCTTGAAAGACAGAGATACCTCTACAATAAATATTTGTTGAAAAAAAAAGGAATGAAATGAAATGATATGATAGCAGCTTTCTAGGTGGGATCATATGCATATAAGCATGTATATACCTACTTATGAAATCCATGGTGGAAGTTTATGAATCTGCTTTCTCTTGAATAGGTTTTCTTTAAGTATTTATTCTTATAATAACTAACAAATGCCATTTGTAGTGACAGGTGAGTGAACCCAAGGATTCTTGACTCTGAGCTGACAGACTGTCACCTAGGTTACGGGTTTTATTCTCCAATTCATTCATTCAACAAGAGAACCTGCCATGTGCTATCAACTTCTCTAAGCGCAAGAGATACATTTGCAGAAAAGAGGCAAAATCTCTGCTTTCCTGGAACTTCCATTGTAGCCAGTCTGTTAGGCCTTCCCAGAGATCTTTTTGTTTTCTGGGTCTCTCCGCCTTAACAGATTTTTTTTAAAGGTTTTTTATTATGGAAAATTTCAATATGTAAGAGCTGAAAGAATTATAACCATCCCCATCATCCAGTTTCAACCACAATCAACTCATAGCCAATCTTATTTCATTGATACTCTACTCTCTCTCCTTATTCCATTTCAAATCATTTTGATAGCACAAGTATCACATCATATCACTAATATGATTTTTAATAATATTACATACATGTTTTTCCTCTGAGGACACTTACCTGTCCTCATTTGACAGTTTGTATGGGAGACTTTGTGAGTGTCTGCATGTGTGTGCGTATGAACATGCAATATATGTATATATACCTTTTTAATGTTATTACCCACCATAACCACATCCATAAACAGTTCCACAGCACCTATGGAGATGGAGTCATAATTAATCATGGGTATAAACAGTGCCCACTGAAGAGTTGGTGATTGCCTCTCAAAGCTTTTTAGCTAGGTGTGGTGACTCATGCCTGTAATCCCAGCACTTTGAGAGGCCAAAGCAGGCAGATCACTTGAGCTCAAGAGATCAGCCTGGGCAACATGGTGAAACCCCGTCTACCAAAAATACAAAAAGAAAATTAGCCAGGCGTGGGTGGCATGTGCCTGTGGTCCCAGTTACTCAGGAGGCTGAGGTGAGAGGATCACTTGAGCCCAGGAGGCAGAGGTTGTAGTGAGCTGAGATTATGCCACCGCACTCTAGCCTGTGTGACACAGAGAGACTCCATCACACACACATAAAAAACAAAAAACAAAAAAAGCTTTTTGTTTTTTTGAGACAGGGTCTCAGTCTGTTTCCCAGGCTGGAGTGCAGTGGCGTGATCTTGGCTTGCTGCAACCTTCGCCTCCTGTGTTCAAGTGATTCTCCTGCCTCGGCCTTCCAAGTAGCTGGGATTACAGGTGTGTGCCACTGGGCTTGGCTAATTTTTGTATTATAATAGAGACATGGTTTTGCCATGTTGGCCAGGCTGGTCTCAAACTCCTGACCTCAGGTAATCCACCCGTCAGCCTCCCAAAGTGCTGGGATTACAGGCGTGAGCCACTGCGCTCGGCCTTAAAAAAGCTTTTTATGCCAGAAGTGCTCTGGTTCAATTTAGGGGGATATGATAGTATGGTTTTTTTTTTTTTTTTTTTTGAGATGGAGTCTCGCTCTATTGCCCTGTTGCTCAGGCTGGAGTACAGTGGCGCAATCTCGGTTCACTGCAACCTCTGCGTCCTGGGTTCAAGTGATTCTCCTGCCTCAGCCTCCCTTCCAAGTAGCTGGGATTACAGGAACTCACCATCATGTCCAGCTAATTTTTGTATGTTCAGTAGAGATGGGTTTCACCATGTAAGCCAGGCTGGTCTCGAACTCCTGACCTCAAGTGATCTGCCTTCTTCAGCCTCCCAAAGTGCTGGGATTACAGGTGTGAGCCACTGTGCCTTGCCTGGGATACGATACCATGTATGTCTTCTGATCCCAGTTTACAACATCAGTAATTGCTCAAGCGTTTCCTCTTGAATTACCTAAGGATATCACAAAAGTGTTACTTTTCTTTGCAAGTCATCAGTGTCTTAACACAGATAAGAAAACTATATTCCCTTTATTAACATGACCTTGATCTTCTAGGAAAATAAAAACCCTTGAATTATTATATTAGAGTACGATATGCTTCCTGTTTTTATTTTAAAATTCCCAAATTTAATCAGGTTCTTTCTTAAAAGAAGTATGCGTTGGTGTGTTCATATTTTAAATTTATCCTGTCACACCAAAAACCTTTCAATGGCTTCGCATCATTATTTTAAATAAAATCCAGTTCCAAAATCTTAACATGAAATTTTTTTACCTCTAACTTGACTGACAGCCATTCCCTATGTCCCCAATTTGATACCCTCCCACCACTCTGTCCTTAAGATCCTGACTCTTCTTTACCTCAGGAACATCCTACAAGCTATTATGTATGCTGGAATGTTCTTGTTTCGACTTTTACTCATTATTCACTTTTCTTAACCATTTAAATATCATATCCTTAGAGAAACCATGCTTGAGCCTTTACAGTCTAAATTGCTAAAATGGTTCTTAGTTTCCTCTTTCATAATACTTATAATTTTATTATTAACTACGATTTTTAAAATGTACAAAAATAGAATGAATCAGATGATTAAATTTGTGTTATGGTGTTCTCTGGGAAGTGGATGCTGAGATGGGGTTAAAAGTGCAAAAAGTTTACTGGAAAGTAGCACCTGTGAAATGGAAAGGGGGGAAGCAGAATTGGGTGGGAGAGCCATTAGATTACCATGCAGGTCTGACAATACTTCTGCCATCCCAATATCGAGCAGGTCCTTATCCCTTGCTCAGTCTTGAGCTGCGGATGGGCATGGGGGAGAGGGTTTTCCCTGAGAACAGTGTAACTTCAACTTGAAAGCTGAGGTGAACCTAGAAAGAGTTAACAACTGGAAGCTGTCAGGTAACTATCCTCCTTGCAGTTGGGCAGTGAGTCCTTTCTTGAAGGGAGATCTGAGCTGCACACCTCTGTGACTGCTATACACTGTAGGATGTCAATTCAATCCAAATTAATCCATAACTTCAATGATGAAGAATTTTTTGTTTACAAGTTCAACAATCTTGTTCTATGTATTTGGAAACTAAAGGTTCACATTTATTTATTTATTTATTTATTTATTTATTTATTTAGACGTAGTTTCACTCTGTCGCCAAGGCTGGAGTACAGTGGCTCAATCTCGGCTCACCGACAACTCCACTTCCCAGGTTCAAGCGATTCTCCCACCTCAGCCTCTGGGCTGGGTACTACAGGTGTGTGCCAACACACCTGGCTAATTTTTGTATTTTTAGTAGAGATGGGGTTTCACCATGTTGGCCAGGCCGGTCTTGAACTCCTGACCTCAAGTGATCCGCCTGCCTCGGCCTCCCAAAGTGCTGGGGTTATAGGTGTGAGCCACTGTGCCAGACCAAGATTCATATTTAGCCAAGCTAAATTTGAAAAAGAGCAAAGAAGAGGGATTTGCCTTATTATATATTAAGATATTCTATAATACAATAGTAAATAAAAGCAACATAGTACTGGAGTAGTCACAGACAAGCTGACCAATTGAAAAATAGGTCAGAAGCAGAACACAAATGAAATGAAAACAGAAAGATATAAGTGGCATCAAAAATCAAACAGGAAGGAAGCTAGGCACGGTGGCTCACGCCTGTAATCCCAACACTTTAGGAGGCCGAGGCGGGCCGATCACTTGAGGCCAGGAGTTCAAGAATAGCATGGCCAACATGGTGAAACGCCCTCTCTAATTAGATGGGCATGGTGGTGCACACCTATAGTCCCAGCTACTTGGGAGGCTGAGGTAGAACTGCTTGAACCTGGGAGGCAGAGGTTGCAGTGAGCCAAGATTGCGCCACTGCACTCCAGCATTGGAGATGGTGTCAGACTCTGTCCCAGGAAAAAAAAAAAAAAAAAAAGAAAAAAATCAACAGGAAAGAATAAACTGAGTGAGTAGACTTATAGAAAAAAAAAATGGCCTAGATCCTCACTTTACACCACAAACAGGGATGTATTACAGAGAGAATAAATACTTAAGTGTGATTCTAAGTAGAGTAATGGACTGCAAAAGAAATAGAAGAAAATACAGAATCTCTTTTTGATCCGGAAATGCTGACTGTTTTTAAACAAGACTTCAAAAGCACTATTGAGAGTAGTAAGACTGTATTCAACTAGAGGAGAGAGCTGGAAAAACCTGAGGAGGAGTTCAGCACACTATAGAGAATATTCCTGGGATTGGTGCAGCTAAAAGATGAAGGCAACTTATGGTAATAAACCATAAAGAAATACAGATCTGTTAGAGGGCATATCATTCTCTTGCCTATCTAAAATATTTTCTCCTGCCTCTGCTTCCTTCCTATTTAAAACGAAGCATGTGTCTTCAATAAACATTTTTTGAGTTTCAGACACTGAGTTAAGTGCAGGACGTAGAAAGAGGAATAAACTTGAGTCCAGTCCTTAAAAGAGCTCACAAGGCCGAGAAAGATGAGAAAACTAAATAAAATGTTTTATTTTTATCTGTCCTCACAATCTCTTCCCAGTAAATGTTTTAACTCCTGTTCTACAGGTAGGGAGCTAGACCTTTGTCCAGGGTATCATTGAGGTACTGACATTTGAGCAATAAGGAAAATCATTCTGGCAAAAGGAACAGTGCTAATAAAGTCACATGGCCTTGAAAGAACATGGTGTATTGGAAAACGTTAAGCAGGCAACCTGATACTGGACATTCCAAAATGTACATGTTACTGAATAGAGAAAGTAGTCCACAGCAGCTGTTTAGTCTTCTCTTAGTAGAATTGATGATTACATCAGCTAATTGTCGCCTTTGAAGGCAGGGCCAAAGAAGATGAAGCAGGGATAAATGAAGGATAAATGTTAATGGTTAAGGAAGAGAAGCATTCTAGGAAGCAAAAATGACTAACTGTGAAGTGATAATAAGCACTGTACCATAAATTTAGAGGAGGAAGATACTGCTATCAGCCACAGTGGCCAGGAAAGGTTTCATGGAAGTGGTACGGCTTCCTTTGGTCATTCAAAAAATATAGTTAATCCTTATTACTTACAGATTCTGTATTTGTGAGTTTGCCTACTTGCTAAAATTTATTTGCAATGCCCAAATCAATACTTGGAATGCTTTTGCAGTCATCTGTCGACATGAACAGAGGCAAAAAAATTTGAGTCACCTGATGCACATGTTCCCAGCTTTGGTGAAACAAGGGGATGCTCTGCCTTCCTGTTTTAGCTCTCACACTGGAAACAAGTGTCCTTTTCATGGTCTATTTAAGGCCACATTTGTTGCATTTTTGACCTTTTTGTGATTTCACTGTTTAAAATGCCCCCCAAGTGTAGTGATGAGGCTATCTGGGTCCCTAAGTGCCAGAAGGCTCTTCTTTCTTTTTAAAGAGAAAATACATACGCCAGGTAAGCATGAGTTATAGTGCCACTGGCTGTGAGTTCAATGTTAATGAATCAACTATATTAAATAAGGTGCCTTAAAAATTTTTTTTTTTCCTACATAAGGTGCCTTTAAAAAGAAACACACATAAAACAAGGTATTTATGGGCTGGTTGACAAACATTTAATAAGAGGCTTGAAGGAACCTAATCCTGCATTTCTCCTAGGAGCAATGGTTCCATATTCACTAATTCAGCATTTGTGGCTTTTTTACAGAACCACCGTGAATAAGGATTGGCTGTATATATTAGCAGCTGTTCTTGAAGCGGGGGATTCAAAGCTATAATCCACTAAAGAACAGATAATCACATACTTGCAAAAATAAAGCTATGAGTGCTATAAAAGAAGCAATCACAGGCTGATGTCAGAAAATCTCAGAGGGACTCTCGCTTTACAGAAGGGAGGTCAAAGATGGATTTCCAAAGGCGATGCTGTATGCACTGCATTTTGACGCTTAAGTAGGAATCTATCAAATGAAAGGTAGAGAAACACATTTTGCAATGGCTCAATTTAGTGAGAGGACACACTTCTGTGGAGACAAACGTTTACTCCCTCTTGAATGCTAATTTGTCATGTTGCCTTCTGATTAACCCCAGCCCTGTGATTATTACTTTATTTACTGTCCTTAGTTTAACAACAAAGCAACCCTGATGTTATCACACAAATTACAGGCTATGATGCATATAGCATTCTTGCCTGTCTGGAGGGTTGCCTTTAAATGTCTCTATAGAGTACGTACACCCTTTCCTTATGGCATGTAAGTACTGGTCTGGGGAGTAAAAGGGCAGACATCTACCTGTCTTGCTGCCACTGAAGACCATGCTTCTGTCTGTAAGTTACCCCCAACAAAACACTCTTTACTGACCAAACTGGATTTGTCTGCTTTGTTCATTTGATTTCTCCTTTGATGTTTGGGGGGCACTTTGCATAAAGGGCCTTTTCATGGAACAACTTATTTTAAGGAACTCAAAATAGTTTAGGATGGCTGGAGCAAAGACTGAAAGGAGTTTCTAGGCAAAAAGGAAGGTGTCTGATTTATGAAAGTCCCTTTATAGGATGTTAAATAATGTGTTTTATTCTAAAGATAATGTGGAAGTTGAAGATTTTAAGCAAG
The DNA here is from genome assembly GCF_000001405.40 of Homo sapiens. Lineage (NCBI taxonomy): Eukaryota > Metazoa > Chordata > Mammalia > Primates > Hominidae > Homo > Homo sapiens. The sequence goes on along the minus strand of NC_000013.11, from coordinate 79,408,082 downwards.
AAAGTGACATGATTAGATCAAAATTTTAGAATTACTGCTATTAAAGGCAATGATGATGAGGGCAACTGAAGATGAACTGAGATGGAGGTCAGCATAAAAGGCAAAGATATTAAAAGGCTTTTGCTATTATTTAGGAAGAATAAAAGACTTTAAATAAGACAGTGACAGTGGTATGAGAGATGGATGGGCAAAGTTTGAGCAGTCAGGGAAAGAAGTAGAAGCGTTCTCTGTGGAAAATAAAGTGAACAAATGTTTGGAGAAAGGGAGGGTGAGCAAATCAGTTTATCTGGGGTATACAGTATTTGATAGAAGCTTTGGAAGGCTGAAGTGGAGAGCCAGAGTAATGGAGTAGCTGGTGATAAGGTTGAAAATATTGGTGGCGTCAGCCTGTGGCAAGGCTACAACAAACAGACTAAACAAATATAATTTTAACTTTCGGCAGTATTAAATTTATAAACAATTTTTATTGTAAAATACATATAAAACCTACCGTTTTCATTAAGTATATGGTCCACTGCATTAAGTACATTCATATTGTGCAACCCACACAACACCACTCATCTCCAGAATCTAAATCATCCTAAACTGAAACTCTATTATCCACTGAAATATAACTCCTCATTTCCCCTTCTCCTGGGCACCCTCTCCACCCCTGCTCTTGCTACCATTCCACCTTCTGTCTCTAGGAGTTTTGACTACTCTAGGTACTTAATGTAAGTGGAATCATAATATTTGTCCTTTCATGTCTGGTTTATTTCACTCAGCTAAATCACTTTAATCAACACCCTGGTTATTCAGTAGCTGGATTCTAATTTGTATTCTACTCTATATGCTGTATTTTAAAACAAATGTCTTGCTTTGTAGTTCATAATCTTTCCACCTAATCCTTAAAGACACTTCACTCTAGCAAATTATAAACTCAAGAGTTCCTAAGAACAATTTAGCCTATCGGTGTCTCTCATAAAGAGCTTTTATTGATCTACTTACTGAAAATGTCTTTAGATTGTGAATATTTTCATTCCATTACAGTTCATGGAACGTAGACCCTTTGTAAAATTCCACCTAGTATCTAAATAGAACTCAAGCAGGAATCAAACTTATTTGATCACCCAGGAAAATAGTTTATTTATTTGGGTTGCTAATATGAAGACTCTCTCTTTTGATACTATATAATTTCCCGATCTGAGATAGGGCTGAATTTGCTCTAAATAAAGAGAATTTTAAAAATAACAAAACTTATCTTTAGCTGGGGGAAAGTGCAGGCTGGAAACTACCTGAGAGACGTGAAGGTTCTCTCACCTTTCCCTTGTGGGCAGCCCTCAGTCATTAGGGCTCTACCAGCAAGTCAAGTACTGTTGGACAAGACACTAATCCTCTGGCGGTCTCATTGGGCTCCATTAGACCAGCCTGTGTTTACAAACCTCGTTCACATCACAGCATACACAGAATATGATACTGGTAGGGCACTTAGGTAAACTGAGGAGGTAGTGTGCTCGGCACCTGGAACCTACGGGCCGCCTGGTGTCGCGCACGCGGGAGTGTACGCTCTCAAAGAGCGATCCATCCGGCAGGACCGTTCCAGCTGACAGGCCACGGCCGTCTTACCGGGGACGAGCTGGGGTTCCCGCTGTTTCTGAAGTCAGCGGTCTTTTCCTCCTTGTAAGAAATAAGGTCTTTATATCATAAAGGTAAGCAAAGAATAAAAAGGCACAAAGGCCGCAAGCAACGCACACACGCAAAAATCGAACTACAGCACTCGACCCGCGCATTCTCCGCCGACCTTACGTCTCTCCCAGCAGGCTCCGGGAGCCACCGCGAGACTTCATCAATTCTCGCGAGATTTACCGGCAGCCATCTTCTTGGGGGTGCTGGGAGCCGGGAAGACCCCCTGAATCGTTCCCATTGAGCTGCCCTTCGCCTTCGCTTTCTTTACTTTTGCCTTTTCGACGTAGCCAACAAGCACCTGGTCCCGAGGCTGAGAGAAGGCTCGGGTCTAAGCGCGTGTCGCGCTTCCGGTCTGGGTAGATTTGCTGGGGAAGAGGGAAGGGGGAGGGCCCGGGCAAACCGTTGCTGTTTCAGCCCGGGCTGGGGGCCGGGGACGGGGAGCTCCTGGCACCCCGTGCACTTGTGGCCTGCGGCGGTCCTTGCAGAGCTGTTCGCCGACCGGGGCCCGCGGGAACCTGCCACCGGCGCCTCCCACCGCGGCCCACGCGGGCGGCGCGCGGAGGAGGGGGCGGGGGCAGCGGCGGCTGTAGCGGCCGCGACCTGGGCGGGCGGAGGAGTGTGACGGGCCTTAGGGCCGCTGTGGATGGTTTCTAAAATGATCATTGAAAACTTCGAGGCACTCAAGTCCTGGCTCAGCAAGACTCTCGAGCCCATGTGAGTATCCGGGGGATATCTCTTTGCAGGGATGGCAGTGGGAGATAGGCGGACCCAGAGATCTGTGCAGTTTCCCCAAGTGCCTGCGGTGGAGGCCGAAGCGGTGAACGGAGGTCCCAGGGTTCTGTGGCTTCTCCTCCTCGTCCACCTCGCTTCCAGATTCAGGATACCCCCGAGAGCCTGAGTCGAGCTTTATTTTATTGCTGAGCTGCTCTCGTTTTCCCGTTATATATAGACCGTCTCCAACCCCCACCCGCAATATTTTCCGGGGGCCTCAAAATCGGTTTATTTTAGTGAAACCGACTGTATTTTACTTCCTACAGATTATTTTACCTTGTTTTTCTAAATGAAGTAGACGGCCTTTATTGGGGATTCGGGCAGTTCTAGCTTAAATCACTCACGTTTCACCTAAATATAATTCCTGAAAGCAAGGCCACGTCTCCCATGTGCTGTCTGGCTCATCTGCACCTCTCTTCACTGATTGAAGATGTAACAGGTGCTGAGGTGGCCAGTAAAATTCCCCTTTCCCGCCTACGCGTTCGTTAGCTTGGAGAGGAGGAAGAAAATTGAATCTTCATCCATATGGAATATTTAGCAGTTTTAAGTGGGATGCTATAGATAGATTTTGTGTTGGGGGCTGCGGTTAGAGTGCTGAAATAGTCTTAGATTGGAAAATTTAAGGAGTGTTTTGACGACTTGTTAATACAAAATATGACATGGACCAAAGTGCTTAATCAGAATTGGTTGATTTACAATAATGCAATGGGGAAAATTCACGTATTTAATAAAGTTATTAGGTACCTACTGTATACTACGGGAGGCTTTGGGGATAGAGCTTTTAAATTCTAAAATCGACAAGACATAAATAAATCCAGATATTAATAGAGTTGTGACTATTGTAATAATAGAGAATCATGTAAAAGTGATTATGAGGGGGGCTATTTCACATTGGTCAAGGAAGGACTCTCAGAGAAGGTGACATTGGAGTAACATCTAAAGAGAAGGGACCATGTGTGTCAAAGTCTTGGAAAAGAACATTCCTTGCAAAAGGAAGAGCAAATGAAAGGCCCTGTAGCAGAAGTGATTGTGGTGTGTTTCAGGAAGAGAAAGGCCACTGTGGCTGGAAAGAGCCTTGTGATGAGGGAGAGGATATAAAGGCAACAAGTTGGACAAGTAGGTAGGGGCCACATCATGTATGGGAAGACGTGAGATGATTTAAAGCAGACAAGGACTGATTTAATTTTGTTTTAACTCTGCCTATTTTGTAGAGACTGAAAGGGCAAGAATGGAAGTAAGAAGATTATTCAGAAGTGTGTTGTAGGCAGAGATGTGGCTAGTTTGCATTAGAGTGATGGTGGAGACAGGCAGATCCAAATACATTTCATAAGTAAAATTAATGGATTAAATGCGGGAGATGAGGGAAAGGGAAATCAAGGGTGGTGCCTTAGATAACCCAAGCAACAGAATGGGTGATATTAGAGAAGGCAGAGAACAGGTTAAGGGGAGAAGGAAAGTGGATGGCTAGTTTTGATAATAATAAATACAGTAAGTATGAAGTCTGTGGGATACAGCTAAGTGTGATAGCAGATCATTGAATATATGAGTCTAAAACTCAGGACAGGACTGGAGAAATCTGGAGTCATGCAGATAGTATTTAAGACGATGACATTGTGGGAAATTTCATAGAAAAAGTGTGTAGGTAGGGAAGAGAAGAGGGCCTAGTACTGAGGCAGGAGGAAAACTGGGCTTTATGTCATTAAAAAACAAGTGTATGGCAAAAGAGAGGAGTTTATGAAATGCTGCAGAATGCATGAAAAAATGGAGGCAAATAGGTAGCCCTTAGATTTAGCAAAGTGGAAGTCATTGGTAACCTTAGCAAAATAGTTTCACTGGAGTAGAGTTGTGCAGATGGAAGTCCTATTTCGGTGTATTGGAGAGTGGGCATCATAGTATAGCGGTGAGGAGAACTCTGGAGCAGAATGTCTGGCTTTGAATTCTGCCTCTGCCACTTACCAGCTGTATGATATTGGGTAAGTTACTTAACTCAGGGCTTCCATTTCCTCAACTGTAAAATTGGGAAAATAATGGGTGTATATTAAGGAAATCTTAGACTACTGTCTGGTGTGTAATTAGCATTCAGTAGTTATTAGGTGAATACAAAACTTATAAATGTTTTGGATTGAAATAGCTTTCCTTTAAGCGTTCAGTTTCATATTAGATTTACTGCCGTATCCCTCCATCTTACCTAAATGAGAAGACTGTAGCTACTTAGAGTGTATGCTTGTAATTTTTCTTTAGTCTTAATGAAACATATTCCATGTATCATAAAGCCTACTCTCGATGGCTGTAGCACTGCAGTCATTATGTTGTAATAAATAAGGCTCTGCTAGTAGAGCCTAGACACTGGGAATTGTAATTGGTCCTTTTCTAATGTGTGTAGCTGTGGTAAAATTGAGCCCTTATTCAAGTTCTTGTCCTTTTAATTGCATTTCAGGTGGATTCTTTTGTATGATGACTTATAAAAGCTGATCCCAATTATGGATCAGTGGTTTCTAACGTTGGTTTTGTGAAATGTTATGATCTGTTATCTAAAAGGAATTTTTTTTTTTTTTTGCTTTAACATTGTAATTACCAAACGACCTCTGTTTGAGAGAGGAACATACAGAGGACCAAGGGTAAGCTGTAACTTGAAACTTACATAAAACTTTTTAGTTACCTGTGGTGGTTAAATACTTCATGGTTTTGGACTTACTCCACATTTTGAATGTGTTAATTCAGCAAACATTTATTTTAAGAGTACTTAACCTACTCTGTGCTAAGCAGTGTGCAAGATATAGTAGGTAACAAGACATGAAATGACTCACTTCATTTTATTTACCATTTAGCAGGAAAGATAGGTGTTGAAGTCTGGGAACATCAGGAAACACTTCCCTGGTGTAATGTTTATCTCAGCTTGGAAGGATGAAGAATACTTTGCTGGGGCAAAAGGATGGGATTGGAGACCTGTGAAAGCGTTATAGGTTTGGTGAACAGATTGTATGGAGGTCCTAAAAATGGACAAAAAAGATATGTTGGAGGAATTGAAAGAAATAGAAAAAAGCAAAGGAGAAGAATGGCAGTGGAAAGCTCCAGAGATAGGAGCCAGATCACACAGGACTTTGTTGAGTCATGTTTAAGACTTTGGATGTTATTGAAGGATAGTGGGAAGCCAGTGAAGGGTTTTAGGGCAAGAGGGTTTTCAGATGGATGTTTAAAAAAAAAAAAAAAAGCCTGGCTGTGTTTTCAGCGTGAAATAGAAGTCTGCATATCTGTATTTACTGTTTCATAACTTCTGTACATGTATCAGGGTTCTGAGTTTCATAAATTATTGAAAATAATTTTCAATGTCTTTTTCATAAATTGAGAATTTTGAACTTTATTAAAATTGTCATCTTGAAATGCTTAAGATTGATGTTTTGTTATCTCAAAGATTTGCTTAGTCATACTTGCCAATAATATGAAACTAAATGTTAGTCTTTTTTCTAACATTTCGTTTTGATGATGAGAAGTCCTGAAAAAAAAATTAAGCTCCTTTGTTGTAGTAAACTTTTAAACAAACAAAAAAAACAGAAAACACTTTCTACTGTATTTAAAACTTTTAGGTGGACTTACACATCAAAGTCATGTTTTTTTTTTTTTCCTGAAGAGACACCTAAACATCTAATGAAACTTTAATTTTTTAGAAAATAAAATTGAGGGGCAGGTGGATGTAATGACGTACTGAGGTTTTGTGAGTTGAGTAGTAAAGAACAAAATGCCTAGTGTTGTGCTTCTGCCACTGTGTAGTGCTGTGGAGGAAGTGTGTGGTGGAAGGAAGATCTCTGTGTCCAGATCAGTATTCAAATCTCACTTCTGCCATTTATTAGCTGTCTAGGCAAAGAAACCTCCTCTTTCCTTATTGGTATAATAGGAAGAATTACAGTATTTCCATCTATAGTTGAAAGGGTTGAATGGGACACATGTTTGTGAGCCTTGCCCTTCCCCTCCTTTCTTAGATATTGGTTGATTAAACACAGATAGGCTACATTACTACTGTTGCTACTGTTAGAATTATCACCAACACTCCTGCTGTGACTACCACCTAAACTGTATGCATTGTTGTTAAACATTTTGTATTATTGTACTTACAAGTTTTATGAGGTAAGCATTGTTATCTCTCCATTTTGCAGGTGATGATACTGAGGCACTGAAGCATGAAGTTATTTGCCCACAGTGATTTAAACTAAGGCTTTTTGACTCTAGAGCTGTGTGCATATTCTTAATTTACTACTACAGAATGCAGCATCCTAGTGTTTTCTGTTACTGCATATACTTTTTTACTATGACATTTTGATAGTATTGGCTACTATTGTAAAAGAACAAAGTTCTAAAGCATCGTGATTATCAGTGCTTTAGAGTTTAAGAAATAAACATCTTTGTGGTTTTTGTAGTATTTTTCCCCTTCACCTGTACTTGTTACTACACCTTTCTCACCACATTAAAATTTATTTTTGTTCGTGTCTGATAGGAAGAGTTATTCTTTTGGGTTGGCTAAATGATCTTTTTACTCCTGAACTTTTGAGTATTTTTGATTCCTTTGACCTTTCCTTTTCAGTTGGCTTCTTTTGGCATAGTAAGTCCATTTCCCATTCTTTAGGAAAAACTCAGCAATAATAGCAAAAAACAAAACAAAAGATAAAACGCTTCTAGTCACTTTCTTGCTAGCTTTCTGTTCCTGTCGCTGGTAAATCTTGAAGTAGTAGTCAGACTTTTAATTTTTTGTTAATTTGCCCTCAGCCATTTACTTCTTAATGTCTTGGAATAGAATTTCTTCGTTGTAATATAATTACAACCAAAATTACTTACCTCAGTGTTACCAATCAATTTATATTTATTGCCTGAAGTTTTATATTTTTTGCCCTATGCGTGTATAACATCAGTGTTGATGCCACCTTTTTAACTTACTTGCCTTGAATCCCTAATGTGTTGGTTCCTTTTCTTAAGTCAGTCTTACCCTCTTTTGTTCCTTTTCTTCAGATTCTAATTGTATTTTTCAGTGTTGTTACATTGACATTTTTTTCTTCATCCATTTTTTACTTCTGACATTTCATTAATTACTGCTAAGATTTGAATGTTTGTCTTCTCCAGAATTCATGTTGAAATTTAATTTCGTTAAGTATTAAGAGGTGATTAGGTCACGAGGGCTCTGCCTTTGTTGATTGGATTAATGCCTTTATAAAAGGTTAGGTTTTGCCTCTGCCCCTCTGACTTCTGCTATGGGAGACCTCTGACTTCTGCCATGGGAGGAACTCCGGAGGATGCAGTGTTCAAGGTCTATCTTGGAATCAGAATTGCCAAACCTGCCAGTACCTTGATATGAGACTTCCCAGCCTCCAGAACTGTGAGCCAATAAATTTCTTTATAAATTACCCATCTTGTGGTATTCTGTTATAGCAGCACAAACGGACTAAGACCTTTCCCATGAATGGTTTTCTTTGTAATACATGCCAGTGGTTCTTAAAAACTTTTTTTGGAGTGTATATTGTAGATCCTTTAAAGTCTGATTAAAGACTGTCTCCCTAGGATTTACAAATACATACACATTTGCATTGAATTTCAGAGCTTTTCACTCTGAGCTTGTTAATGGATTCCAAACTAGAACCTCTACTCTGCATTTATTTTCACATAAGTATGTTTAGACTTAACCACTCTTCACAGTCTTAAGCTTTTATCTCTAATTGCTGGCTGTATATCTGCTTGGATCGCTCATCTAAACTTCAAACTAATTTCTGAAAAGAAGTGTTTTCTGGATTCACTTATTTTAATTTCATTTCTCCAAATTATGCTGGCTTGAAATTTTTTGGCTTCTCCTTCCTCCCATTCACTTAGTCATGAGGTTCTCTCTTAATAATCCTTACTGACATTGCTTAGTAGGGGGCTCACACTCCGTATCTAAATGATTGCAGTTTGCTTCCTAACAAATCTGTTTTTATCTCTAGGCCTTTCTCCCTTCCAGTTCTTCTGACATGGATGCCCAGCCTTGTTTGTATCCCATTGCTTGATCAAAACCTTCAGCATTCCCAGATAATAAATTGCATACTTTTTAGCTTGCCTTTAAGAAAGCTAATGATTTGCTTTAAATTATCTTTTCCATTTATATCTTTCTACTTTTTATATGAGTCTTAATTTCAGCAAAGCTGAACTTTCGTGATTCACTGTCATTTTTTTTTATTGTTTCTTTTTTCTGAAACTTTACTGTTTCTTTTTTCTGAAGATTAGTAGTGGGCACCATTTATTGAGTGCTTACTATTAATATATGTTAATTGTTATACATTCATTGTGTGCAAGATAGGTGTTAGGAAGATGAATTAGCATACTTTATTCATAGCTAGTAAGTGATGGAGACAGGATCCAAAAGAAGACATTTTGATTCCAGAGCCTTGTTGTATTATGGTGTACTGTCTTTATATCCTTTCTTTGTGTTGAAGTCAAAGATCAAGTGTGATTCCAGTTCTTCCAGAAAGCTGCCTATGATCTATCCAGCTGGGTGAAGTGACTCCTCCCACCATGACTCCTCTCTCTCAGCACTGGTTTCAGTTGTCATGACACTCATCACTTGTACATTAAATTATTTAGTCGTGTTATTTTAGCTTTATTATTAGAGTCTCAGGCCCTTGAAAGCAGACTCCAGCTCTTAAGATTTAACTATGTTCCTGTTCATTATATACATTATCTAGCACAATGCTTTGTGTGTAGTATATACCTGATTATTAAATGCGTTAGTTGAAATTTCAAGTTTGTGTACCTAAAACCAAGGGAAGAGGCAATAATTTGGGTAAAACTATAGAATCTACCCAACTTCAGAACAGCAGATATGTGAGCTATTTGAAGATTAAGTAGTCTTTGGGTCTACTTCTTTCCATTTTTACTCCTAGCATCTTCAGTTTAGGTAAAGCTTAAGTTCAGATTTTTTTTTTCTTTGAGAGGGAAAGGTCATTGAAGTATATTAATATTTACTTGTTAAAGTATTATTGAATGTTGCTATGTGCAAGATTGCTGTCTCCATAGAGCTGCACATAAAAGAATTATAGTAATTCTAACCTGATGAATTTTATAGCTGGTAGAAGAGTTAATAGTCTATAATTATTGGTTAAAACATTTTTCTTTATTTCTTTATCCCCTTAACTTGTGATAAATTGACTTTCATAATCACATTTTGCTGCTGCAATCTTATTTGGCCTTTCCATCTGAATGCTGAGTGGTTAAAATGCATTTAGCACTTTTTTTCTGTATGTTTTAGCACTTCCTTATCTTTGGCTGACAGTGCTTCTCAAAATTATTTTACATGCTTAAACTGAGAGATAGGGACTGTATTATGAGCAAAATGTAAAATATTCCCATGTTAGTTATGTACATAACCTAAGCTTGAGAATGACTAACTGAAGCTTGAGCTAAATAGCTTGTAAGATTTTTTTCCCTCTTCTTGCTTCCTTTGTGCCAGAGAAAAGAATGAATGAGAGAAATGAATGAATGGTAAGCTGTTCCTACTAGACTTACTCATTACTCTCCTACTACTTTATTTCTGTGGAAAAAGTCTTTTCAATTTACATGCAGTAACTTTGAAATAGGTAAAAGTTTATTTTTAACTTAGGGTTTTATTAGTATCTTTTATGTGTGTATTAAATAATGGAGTAAGTTCAAGATCTGTTACTTAGTGATTCTTCTTGAGATATTTTACCTATGTAGAAGCATTTCTTTTGTTATTTTTTTCTGCGACATGTTTTACAAATGCTTTTAAAATTTTGATTTTCTGATTTTTATTGTTAGTATATAGAAATATATTTGTATATTGACGTTGAATTCTGAAATTTTACCAAGTGTACTTATTCTAGTAGCTATTTTATAGATTCTGTGGAATTTTCTTCTACCAATCTCATCATCTATGAGTAATGACAATTTTCTGATTTTTATACCTTCATTTCTTTTTTTTTTTTTTTTTTTTTTTGAGATGGAGTCTGGTTTGTTGCCCAGGCTGGATTGCAGTGGCGTGATCTCAGCTCACTGCAGCCTCCACCTCCCGGGTTCACGCGATTCTCCTGCCTCAGTCTTCCGAGTAACTGAGACTACAGGCACGTGCCACCACACCCGGCTAACTTTTTTTTTTCATTTTTAGTAGAGACGACAGGGTTTCATCGTGTTAGCCAGGATGGTCTCGATCTCCTGACCTCATGATCCGCCTGCCTCAACCTCCCAATATACCTTCATTTCTTATCATGCTGGCTAGAAGCAATAGTACAATGTTGAAGTAGTAAGAGTGGACGTCCATGTCTTGTTTCCAGTCTAAAGGGAAAGAGATTAAATGTTTCAGTATTACTGATATTGGCTCTAGGTTTTTAGTAACTGCCTTTTACCAGATTGAGAATTTTTTTCTTAATTTGCTTAATATTTTTGTCATAAAAGGTTATTGTTAACTTGGCTAACTTCTTATTTCTTTTTCTTTTTTTTGAGACAGAGTCTTATTCTCTCACCCAGGCTGGAGTGCAGTGGTGCAATCTCGACTCACTGCAACCTCCACCTCCCAGGTTCAAACGATTCTCAGGCCTCAGCCTCCTGAGTAGGTGGGACTACAGGCGTGCGCCACCACCCTTGGCTAATTTTTCGTATTTTTAGTAGAGGTGGGGTTTCACCATGTTGGCCAGGCTGGTCCTGAACTCCTGACCTCAGGTGATCTGCCTGCCTCAGCCTCCCAGTGCTAGGATTACTGGCATGAGCCATTGTGCCTGGCCAGTTCTTTTTCTCCATCTGTTGAGACGATCATACAGATTTTCCCGTTTTTTTGTTAATATGGTGTATTACATGGATTGCTTTTCAAATATTAAGCCAATCTTGTATTCCTGAGGTAAACCAGGCTTGGTCATGTTATATTATGGTAGATTTGATAATATTAAAACAAGTGGAAGTATTCTATCCTCCGTTTTTCTGAAAAAATTTATTTAGGGTTCTATTTTTTTTTCCTTAAAATTTTTGGGATCCTTCACCAGTGAAGCCATCTGGGACTGAAATTTTTGTTGTGAGGATTTTTTGGTTATAAAATCAATGTCTTTAATAGGTATAGGGCTGTGTAGGTATTTCTGTTTCTTCTTGTGTCACTCTTGACAATTTATGATATTCAAAGATTTTTCTGAAGTTGCCAAATTTATTGACATTGCATTGTAACCTTACTATTCGTTTAATAACTAGGATTTATTGTGATGCTTCCTTTCCCCTTTTTAATTATACCTTTGGTTGCTCTTTTATTTTCTTAATCAATTTTGCTATTAGTTTTTCAGTTTTATTCAGCTTATTAAAGAACAATGTTAACTTTTTTTTCTATTTTCTATTTCAGTGTTTTATTTTTATGATTCCCTTTTAAAACACTTTGGGTTTAATTTGCTGTCCTTTTCCTCTTAAAGTGGAACCTAGGTCGTTGGTTTTACACCTTTCTTTCAGTTATTTTATGATATTGTTCCATTGCCACCGTCCTCTGTTGTTTCTGGTGAGAAATCTGCTGTCATTTGAGTCTTTGTTCTCCTGAATGTAATGTGTCTGTTTTCCCCCTTTGACTACCTTTAAGATTCAATTCCTTTTATTTGGTCAGCAGTTTGACGATGATAGGCTTGTCTGTCTGTGTTTATGTGTTTTATCCTTAGATTTGCCAATTTGGATCTGTGTTTTGGGTCTTTCATCGGTTTTGGAAAGTTCATTGGTCACTATGTCTTCAAAATTTTTCTGCCCCATTTTTTTTTCCTCTTTTTCTGAGACTTTATATTTAGTTCCTTGTATGTTAGATTATATGATATTATCCTGAAAATCTCATGTATGTTTTAAAAAATTACTTTTGTCCCTTTGCTTTTGATTTGGATACTTTTTATTTTCCATTTTTTTGTTTGTTTGTTTGTTTAGAAACAGTGCCTCACTCTGTTGCCCAAGCTGGAGTGCAGTGGCATGATTATAGCTCATTGCGGACTGGACCTCCTGGGCTCAAGGGATTCTTTTGCCTCAGTAGCTGGAATGGCAGTCACACACCACCACACCCAGCTAATTTTTTAATTTAATTTTTATTTTTTTTTGTAGAGATGGGGTCTCACTATATTAACTAGACTTGTCTTGAACTTCTGGTGTCAAGTAATCCTCCCAATTCAGCTTCCCAAAGTGCTGGGATTATAGATATGAACCTCTTCCTGTTTTCAAGTTCACTATTGTTTTTCCTCTACCGTTTCCAGACTGCGAAGGAGAGTTATTTCTGATTCAGATTTTTTATTTCTGGATTTTCCCATTTGGCTCTTTTTAATAGTTTCTGTGTATTCACTGAAGTTCCCCACCTCTCCATGCATGTTGTCCACATTTTCCAGTAAATTCTTTAGCATTTTTATCATTATTGTGAAGTCCCCGTCTAATCTATTATCTGGACAGTCTCTGAGTATGTTTCCATTGACTGTTTCGTCTCATGTAGATCACATTTTCTTACTATTTTGTGTTCCCTTTAGTTGGTTTTATGCTAGATCTTTTGTGTAAAAGGACTGTAGAGACTGAAGTAAATAAGATTTATTTTCAGTAAGGGGGCATGCCTTTTTTTTGTTAGGCCACTTGAGTGGAGGCTGAGTCAGTTGCCCTGTAGTCTGATTGGTTCTGGGCTTTGTAACAACTTTCGTTTGATTCAGTTCACCATTGGCTTCAAATGCTTTGAGGGCAGAATGAGAATTTTCCCTTTGGGGCTGGGTGCCGTGGCTCACACCTGTAATCCCAGCACTCTGGGAGGCCAAGGTGGACGGATCACCTGACATCAGAGGTTCAAGACCATCCTGGCCAATGTGGTGAAACCCCGTCCAAACTAAAAGTACAAAAATTAGCCGGGTGTTGTTATGGGTGCCTGTAATCCCAGCTACTCAGGAGGTTGAGGCAGGAGAATCGCTTGAACCCAGGAGGCGGAGGTTGCAGTGAGCCAAGCTGGTGCCACTGCACTCCAGCCTGGGCAACAGAGCGAGACTCTGTCAAAAATAAAAATAAAATAAAATTTAGCTAATTGCTACAAGGGGGCTGGACTTCCTTTTGTTCAAATATGACCTTGAAGGTCTTGATGCATGTTGAGAAAGGCACGGAATAGAGAAATGGATGCTACAGAAGGAAGTTGGGAGGAAGCAAGAGAAATACTCATGGAAAGCCTTTATATGCTTCCAAAAACGGCACTTTGATTCCAGAGGGCAACGTTTATTTGCCCTCTTGACAGAAAGTAGTAACCTCTAGAGGACTTAGGGCTTGAGGTAAGGACTCGCAAATGGCAGAAGAATTTCTCTTCCTACCAAAGGGGTGCTAACTCAAAAAGCAAGTAGGTGGAATCATTGAAGGGCCAGAGTGAGCCTTTATGGAGGTTGACAAACTGCTTCAAAAGCCACCAGAAAACTCAGCCATGGGGCTGGAATGGAAAGCATATGGTAAGTCGTAAGGAGCTAGCAGAGCGGCAGTTCCAGTTAGTGTTTGTCCCCACAATGTGCCAGCAGAGGGGAAGGTTGGAGGTCATTTGAGCTGGTAGGGTAAGAACAAGTACAAATCTCAGGGGATATCTGCGGGGGATCCCGGCTTTGCTACTGTGTAAACACAGTAAAAGCCGCAGGCGCACAAATAATAGGAAGTGTGTGTTTAAGAAGTCACGTGGCATGTAGAGTGAAAACAGAGAAGCAGACTTGCCCCCAAGGTGAACAGTCCAGCACGTGCACAAAGCCATTTCAGAACACACACACACAAAAAGAATAGGCAGTGCAGCTTCTTGGAGAAAAGCTGATTTTAGTTGAAAAAACAGGAAACCCCAAGCACTGCACGGTTTTAGGCTTTAACCCTATCATTCTCGTGAGCCTCCTGCCCAGGAGGGCCATTAGTGCCTCAGGTCCACTCGGTGCAGACCCCAAGGTCCTTCCCACCCCCACAAGGTGATCTCAGTGGTCATACGGGGGGAGGAGAGCCACTTGTGACCAAGAGGAATTGTTCTGAGGGTTGATTAGTAAGCCAGACAGCGAATGGGAGAAGAAAACTGTATGGGGGTTGAATGTCTCCAGCCGAAGATGGTACTGTGTACAGGTCTCTTACAAGTAGGGAATGTACTCAAGTCATGCGGAACTGATGTATGTTACCTGCTGCAAATCCATATGGATCTGCAGCAACCTCACTTCTTGTCTCAGAAGAAAGAATTCGACCGAGGAGACATAAGGCAGAAGGAGAAACTGAGGCAAGTTTTAGCGCAGGAGTGAATGTTTATTAAAATGCTTTACAGCAAGAATGAAAGGAAGTAAAGTACACTTGGAAGAGGGCCAAGTGGGCAGCTTGAGAGATCAGATGCCCCTGGTTCCAGGTTTTTGAATTGCTGGGGAGATCTTTGTTCTTAACTCCTACCTCCTGCCTTTATGACTTTTGGAACTGTTTTTCAGCATTGTTGCTCCTTTCCTTGTCTTTTGAATGGTAACCCACCCAAGAATGCCTCAGAGGGGTTTCACTCAGCCCTTGTGCTCTACACTCAGACTTTGTTAGCTGGAAGCTAGTAGTTCCTTGGTAATCTCTTGTAGTTCTTCCTTGCTCCCAGAATTACTCATGAGTCTTTGGTTAGTAAGTGTTGATGAGTGGCTGTAGACTCACTTTGTGGCTTGTGGTACTTCTGATTCTAATCTCTCGACAGCATGTGTATATGACTGCTAAAAGATGATTTAAAGTTTCGCTGGTTTCTCTGTACCTCCATCTATGGAGTCAGATTTTTCTTCCTGACTTTCCACCAGGAATGAGAGTAAACATGAGTTTCTTTGCTCTTCTGAAGAGTTTGTCACTTTCTAGAATATAGTTAGTTCATTTACAGATTTTTTTTTTTTTTGGTCTTCTCAAGCTTGTTGGGTTTTAAAAAATACTACAGTTTTGTAGTTAAAGCGGCTTGTTTCTTGTTGGGGTGAGAGCAGTGGTCTCTTGTGATGTTCCACATCCAGCCCGAGGTGGAATGGCTAACATAGTTTTAATGTGTGTTTGTTTTATAAAAGTTAGGTTGAAAAATTTTTCCTATGTTTATTTATATATATAAATATATATAAATTATATATGGATAACATATTTTACATATTAATTATGTTTATATATAATATATAACATATAATTATATAACTAATATATTAGAATATATGTGATTTATGATGTAACCATTACATATATAGTACATAATACTTACATAATTATTGTATATAATATATAATGCTCCAGAGATTAATTTAATAATTTAAGAAAGTAAGCTTTTTTCCTAAAAAGTAATGGTTACATCATAAATAATATATAATGTAATTATATATAATTACTAATTATATATTACCGTTATACAATTAATTATATATTTTATATATAATTAATATATAATTATATAATAATTATGTATTATTGTATAATATATAATTATATAATAATTATGTATTATTGTATAATATATAATTATATAATAATTATGTATTATTGTATAATATATAATTATATAATAATTATGTATTATTGTATAATATATAATTATATAATTATGTATTGTATAATACATTATTATATAATTATGTATTATTGTATAATACATAATTATATAATAATGTATTGTATAATATATAATTATATAATAATGTATAATATATAATTATATAATAATGTATTGCATAATATATAATTATATAATAATTATGTATTCTTGTATAATATATAATTATATATAGTGTTACGTATTATATATTTTTTCCTGTTGATTGTTCATACACTCCCTAGTTTTTCTGATACATTGTTGGTTTCTTAAAAAGTTGATTTGTAGGAGCTTTTCATGTATTAGGGAAATTGTGATATGATCTGCAACTTTCTCTTTCCCATACTGACATTTATGTTTTGATTCTGCTTATGGTAATTTTTCTAATATAGAAATGCTTCGGCTGGGTGCGGTGGCTCACGCCTGTAATCCCAGCACTTTGGGAGGCTGAGGTGGGTGGATCATTTGAGTTCAAGAGTTC
Organism: Homo sapiens; assembly: GCF_000001405.40. Classification (NCBI taxonomy): domain Eukaryota; kingdom Metazoa; phylum Chordata; class Mammalia; order Primates; family Hominidae; genus Homo; species Homo sapiens. The sequence goes on along the minus strand of NC_000013.11, from coordinate 79,391,643 downwards.
GAGACCAGCCTGGCCAACATGGTGAAACCATGTCTCTACTAAAAATATAAAAATCAGCCTGGTGTTGTGGTGGGCGCCTGTAATCCCAGCTACAGGGGAAGCTGAAGCAGGAGAATTGCTTGAACCCAGGAGGTGGTGGTTGCAGTGACGCTAGATGGCGCCACCGCACTCCAGCCTGAGCTACAGAACAAGACTGTCTCAAAAAAACACACACACAAAAAGAAATGCTTCATTTTATGTAGTTGAATTTATCCTTTATTTCATGGGGTTTGGATTTTCTATTGTAGTCATAGTCAGAAAAACTTTCCCTATTTTGAGATGAAGTTACTGCCAGTGATATTATAGCGAAAGCTATCACTAGTTGTGCTTACTGTATGCCAGCATACTAATTGGGTTACCAGTCAATTAATGAACTCTAATTGACTATATGCGTGCTACAAATCATACTGTGACTTACCACGAGAAGTCAGTGAGGCAAAATGGAAACCAGTCACTGTATTTTCTCAAGTAGTATCATCCATGTCCTTTATGATCTTATTTTTAAAGAAAATCCAGGTATGAAGTATGGATATAGCCTTATTTATGTATTTTTATTCAGATGCACACAAAGTTATCTCTATAAAACTTGACTGCATAATCCATGTTTTCCCAGGGATTTGAGATGCAACCTTAAATAGATACTAAGTTCTTATGTGTATTTGGGTTTATTCTAGACTTTTTATATATTGATCTATATCTTTTACACTATTCTCTTATTTTTGGTGATGAAAGGCTAGTCCTCTGTCAATAATGTTCATTTTTAGAATTTTCCTGCCTGGTTTTCCTTGACTGCCCTTGCCCTACAACTTTATTTTGAAAATTTTGAATATACAGAAAAGTTGAAAGAATTTTACAGTGACATACCCGTCATTGAGATTCTACCATTAACATTTTAGTGTGCTTGTCACTATTATCCTTTGGTTCATTTCAGAGTAAATCGCAGATGTCAGTGCACTTACCCCTAAAGCATGCATACCATGCTTTACTTCAGTACTTTAGTTTTATTTTAATTTTAGAATACAGATACAATCAAGTGCACAGATCTTAAGTGTACCATTTTATAGTTTTTACAAGTGTATACATTTTTGTAACCCAGTCACCTGTTAAGATAACATTACCCTTGCCCTGGAAAATTTACTCATTTCTTTTCCCATGCCCCCACCTACCTCTAGAAGAAAGCAGTGTTCTGCCTTTTTTACACTATATATTAGTATTACCTGTTGTAGAACTTTTCTGTCAGTGGAATCAGAGTATTATTTTGAGCAAGGCTTTAATGTGCCTGAGATTTATCCATATTATTGCATATATCTGTAGTTTGCTTCTTTGTATTGCTGAGTAGTATTCTGTTGTCAGAATCATGGTATATACAGTAGTTAACAATAATAATGCTCTCATTATTGTTAATTTGACACAATTTCTTAAGTCTTACTAATTAAAAATAGTACATGATGGTTCTAATAAAAATTTAAACAGTGTAGAAATAGAAACCAAAAATCAGTCTTCTTATTCCTTTCTGATTCTCATATATAAACTTGTAAACATATATCTGTAAAAATATGCATGTGCCACCTATTGATGAATATACATGACTTTTTTTCATAGATAGAATCATTTATATGTTGCTACTACAACTAGTATTTCCAGTAACACTGCACATCATCCCATAAAAGTATACTGTTAGGTAGATTCCTATTCTTTCCAGTGGTTCCATAGAATTCCATTATGTGAGTGTATTGCACTTTGTTTAAATAGTGCTTTATTTATGATGTAATTATTACTTTTTAGGGGAAAAAAGCTTATTTTCTTGAATTATTTAAGTACTTCCTGTATGTAGTCAAGGAAAACTTACCAAAAGACTTTGACTTGAAAAGCAAAATCCTCTTTACGTTTCCCATCCTTGAACTTTTACTGTTAATATGTAGTTTTTATGCCGTTACAATGGCTGAAATCCAGTGTTTTTGCATGACCAAATCATCTACGGCCATACCACTCTGAACACCCCTGATCTCATCTAACTTGGAAGGCAAGCAGGATTAGGCTTGGTTAGTACATGGATGAGAGACTATAGTTTATGTAACCATTCTGTTCTTATTTGTCATTTAGGTTGTTTGCTTTTTTCTTTGGCTTTCCAAATAACTATTTTTTTTCCCGTTTCTTTTTTTCTTTAACAACGCAACTAGTACACTGTTTTTGACTTTTTAAATAACTCTGCAATGAACATCTTCCTCTATGTGTATGTTTGCTTTATTCTCATTAGTAGAAGTTATTTTCTAGAAGTCAGCTAATGCTGCTGTTGGAGGCTTTCTTAGTATTAAGTATACTTTCTTGGTTTAAATCTAGTACTTCAGAGGAACTTGTTTTATGATGTTATGTATTGCATTATAAGTAGTTCCTCATTTTGTTTTTTGTTTCAAAGAGCCATTTTAAAAGAAGTTACGGGAGATAGTGTGTCAGTGTAAATTCTAGCCTACTTTTGAGTTCTGTATATCTCTGCTCCATACATTCTGCAATTATTTATTTTCCATTTTACAGGCAATTTAAAAGTTGATAAAAAAATTTATAAAATCTTAAATGAAGTCACTTATAAATGAAAAGTGTTTGAATGATTATAGATTCCACATAGCATTAATATATACTTCAGCCGGTCGTTTATTTGTTGCTCCTTGTAATAGTTATAAATGCAATAACAGGTACTTTGAGGCCTGTAACTTGTGATCTTTTTTGGACATATTTTGTAAGAAATTGTCATTGTGACGTTTCTTATTTGTTACTATTACTTTCTTTAATGATCTCAAGTGCTTATCTTACCTTTTTAAAAAGTTTAATTTTTTATAGTAGCAAGCAGACTGAAATAGGTAGAACTTATTTTTGAAAACTGCTTTATAAACTTGCAGTTACCAGTCTCTAAAGTTGTTAATGCACTTACCTAAATTGAATCATGTTAAGTTTGGATGCCTGTGATGACATTAAACAGCCAAATTGGAGGAACAGTTAAGTTCTGTGAGAATACATGAAGTTTGGAGGAATCGTGAGTATACATTGTGATTAGGAAAAGGCTCTTGAATCCACCTAGCCTCTGTGGGTTTCAGATGTAGAGAAAGTTTTATTGCTATACTGAAGTGATTGGACAATTTTGGAGCTATATTATGAGATGTGGGGAAGGTTAAAACAGGAGTTACTTGATCCAGTCTCTTTTTAAGAATGTTGCTTGCTGGGCGAGGTGGCTCACGCCTATAGTCCCAGCACTTTGGGAGGCCCAAGTGGGTGGATCACCTGAGGTCAGAAGTTCGAGACCAGCCTGGCCACCATGGTGAAACCCCATCTCTACTTAAAATACAAAAATTAGCCAGACGTGGTGGTACATGCCTGTAATCCCAGCTACTGGGGAGGCTGAGGCAGGAGAATTGCTTGAACCCGGGAGGCGGAGGTTGCAGTCAGCTGAGATCGCCACTGCATTCCAGTTTATGGCATGTAGAGGTTTGATTAGATAAAACGTTTTGAAGACAAAGGAAGACTAGTTAGCTATTTCTTAGTCTAGTTTAAGAGTGAGTTGTGAAATGCCTGAATTTAGATTGCTATAATGTTGGTAATTAGAAGCTCCTTCTCAATACATTGTGATTTGTTCTAGGGAAAAGGCAGGCATAGTTATCTGTAATACCAATGGGAGAAACAGTCAAACATACCAGTAGTTGCTATGTAACAGTGGTAGAAACAATGTACAGAAATTATATAGGTCTGGCAATTTAGGAGAAATACACAAAATGTTTCTATTAAGTAGAATTTATTTATGCCTTCTAAGGGCTCAAAATTTGGTCATGAGTGCTGAGGAAATGGGATTCTGTGACTCTTTAGAAAGACATAAAGAAAAAAAATTCTCTTGAAGATTCTAATGCTATGTACTAAATTATTTTGAAATTCAGTTAACTAAAAGTTACTGGAATGGGAAGGGAGAAAGAGCGCAAGGTGGTGAAAGCCAAATATTTTTTCACAAAAATGACCCACTTTTTCAGATCGTATGGTTCAGTGCCTTTTTTTTTTTTTTAAATGAGTAAACTAAAGCCTAGAGAAATAAAATGCTAACGCAGGATTATATAACTAGTGAATAAAGCAGAAATAACACCAGACTGGAAATCTGAAAATTGTTTTTTGGAGTACAGTTCAGTGCTTTTCTTCAATACCAGACTGCTTCATGGAAAGGCTAACAATTTGGCTTGGGACAAAGTAGGTTTGAAAGGTAATATAGGACTTAAAATATAGCAACCAGAATTTAACTAAAGTATATTTTTAGGGGTGATTATAGGCATTTTTTTTTATCATAGTTCATTATTTAGTAATCCCTTAACGATTGTTAGGGTGCTTGGCAGGTTAATAAAGTGTGTCTTATTTGTAATTATATTTATTTGTAATTATTTCTAGTTTGGCAAGTCAGCTGTTAGATGAAAAAACTGAAGCTTAGTTTGCTTAGTCTTAAGATTCATGACCGGAAAAGTGTCCATAATAATTTCTCATTTTTAAAGATAAATTTTGGCATGACTGTGGTAACCGTATCAGAAAATTTTGGTAGCAATGTTAGAGAAAGACTTAGAAGTGAATCTCTAACATATATAACCACACAGCATTAGCCAGACCTTTTAAAGAAATATGAGAAAAAGGTTAAAGGCTTAATCGACTCAGCCAAATTTATCCAACAGGATGATAGAACTAGGTTTTTTGTATTTCTAGTTTTAGTGCTATTTCTTTTGGATAATTTTGCCTTTTTGGTTTTAAAAGAAAATGTTCACTAGCCTCTGCTCTCTCATTTTAGTAACCAGAGGGATGGGTTACCTGAGATCTGTTGTTAACTAGACAGAATGTGAGTAATGGAGTGGGGGTGGCCTCTAGAACCAGTCTTTTCTCAGATAACTCAATTCTTCCTCAACTATGAATAGGAATTAAAAAAAAAAAAACCCTAAATATGAAGGTTAGTCATGGGTTACCATATTGCAGATACACCTTTTTTTTTTTTTTTTTTTTAAAGAGAGAGTTCTGTGGCTTGATGTATAACCATAATTATAACCACAACTATCTGGGCTTAATTTGTCATTTGGGCTGCTGCTGTTTGCACTGAACAGTACAAACTTTTACTTTGGTTTTGTTATCTGACTATTGGGTCTTTGACACTTAATGGGCACTTCTTTTTTTTTTTTTATTTAATTTAGAAGTTATGTAACTTCTAAAGCTATGGTTCTCAAGTGTGATATCAGGATTCCTGGAATTTCCTGAGAGCCTTTCATGGTGTCTATGAGGTCCTTGTTTTTCCAACTATGTATCTGTGTCAGGTCAGGTTTTCTTCATGTACTTCAACCAGTATAACATGTCATAACAGACTGAATGTAAAAACAGATGTAAGAATCGGCCTGTCTTCTATTAAGCCAAACAAAGGTATTTGCAAAAAGTGTAAAACTTGGTCACTCTTCTCAGAAAATTTGTATTTTATTTTGGAAAAATAGTTTTTGTGTTTTTTTTTTTAATTTTAAAAATATGGTATTTAATTTCAGGTGAGGCTATTTATCATAGAGCTCTGCCTATCCCTGACCTGCAGTGGGGATATGACCTAAATGGGGAAGATGAGTCATTTTCAGAGGCCAGTACGGATGCTGGGGGAGAGAAGAGTAGCCTCCTTTTTCTGGTTTCACTAGCTGTTAGAATAATGTAAGCTGGGAACTGCTTGGGGGCCATCATTTTTGCCACACATAGAGAGCATTTCTGAAAGTGAAAAATGCAGAATAGAGAGTCCTGGTGATATGATTTGAACTCCTGGATTCAGAAAAAAAGCCAGCCCCACATATGGGCTTCCTGTTTGTTTGCACATAAATTCTTCTTCTGATTACTCAAACAAATATAGAGAGTTTTTATGCTAGTTTTAATGGATTTATTATATCAAACTAAACTAAATTTTTTCTCAATTTTAATTCTTGATAAATATTGATATAACTCTTTTAAATAAAAAGCTGTTTGGAGTGGTTCCTATTTTTAAAGCATAGAGGGCTCCTGATACCAAAAAGTTTGAGAACCACTGTTCTAAAAGTAAGATGGAATCATGCTATTTCTTGGAATGATGTGGGGGAATAAAAGAACTGGCCAATAGTTTTCAGTGTTATAATTACATGTATTGTGATACATTTTGCAGTGATGAAGAAGTATTAATAGATTGTGTGATGCTCAAGGATGGATCATATTTAGATATGCTTATATTTTGATTTTATTTTGTAGAATGAACTGGGTGTATAATAACTCTTAATGAGTAGTCTTTGCTGTAACTAATTACTGTATATAAGTAATCTATTTTTGCTTTCTTGTTTGAATTAAGTGAAGCATGTAATAAACTACAATTAAAATTTTCAATGTATGTATTATGCTTGCTGCAATGAAATTTGGATTTTTAAAAGAGTAATTCTAAGTACAGAATATAAAATCATGACTTTGATGCAAATTAGATATTTTTCCTGAATATAAAATGAAAATTTGGAAAGAACAGACGTGGGTGCATATCCGTGTTCTAAAGTTACTCAGTTAACATATTTAAATTTAATTTTTAATTCCCACTACCACCTCCAGCTTCTTTTCAAGATTACTGAACATGGAAGCTTGGGTTAAATTCCGTGAGTTATATTCTACTGAATTTCTAAAGTCTCCAAGAAACTCGTGCAAAACAAACTTTTTGAAATATTGTATTGGAGTATTATAGCTTTCTTTACGGTCTCATTACTGTTTTGAAAATCTGAAAAACTAAAACACACTATGGGTGTGTTGGGGGATTAGTACAACCTTTATTTCCAGAGGTGATTTGTTTCTTGTTAAGAATATTTAGTTTTTAAAGATATTTTATTATAACATTTGATTTTCTGTATTAATTTGGCTTCTGTAACTTTAGTGTGTGTACTTCCCTCTCCACCCCAGATATAGTTGGAAGAGAATGACCTTCTTAGATGGTCACTTCTATGCTTTTAAAGGGTATGCATGAAGCTGGAAGTCTCCAACTGAACTGTTTTTAAAAACAAAGATGCCAGCTGGGCACTATTGCTCTCACCTGTAAATCCCAACACTTTGGGAGGCCGAGGAAGAAGGATCACTTGAGGCCAGGAGTTCGAAACCAGCCTGGTCAACAGAGCAAGACCCTATTTGTACACCCAAACAAAAATTAGCCAGGTGTAGTTGTGTGCACCTGTAGTCCTAGCTACTGGGGAGGCAGCGGTGGGAGGATCTCTTGGCAGGAGTTCAAGGTTTCAATGAACCATGATTGCACCACCGCCCTCCAGCCTGGGTAACAGCAAGACTTTGTCTCTAAAAAAATGAAATGAAAAGAAAAAAAAAAAAAAAACTTTATTAGCTGTATCCTTAACACAGTATATTCAGGAATTGACAAAGTTTTATTTTTATGCCTTTAAAATCATTGATGTGAATGACTTCATAGTGATTTGGAAATTTAATTTGCCAAAGCTCACTGAAGCAGTTAATTTGAAATCCTTGGAGAATTAAAATTGGAAACCCCAGTGTTCGTGAATGCTCACTTTGCTCCATTTCACTGGACTCCTGTCCCTCATATGTGTCAAGAAGGTCAAGTAGGCCTTAGGCTCTTTCTGATGGGTTCCCTTGGCCTGGGCTTTTTAAAATTTTTTCTTTTCCGGATAGCCATAAAGCATATTTGCATTCCATTTCCATTCCTATCTAAATTCAGATCCCTGTTTAAATGTCCCTTCAACAGAGTCCTTCCTTGATGATCTTAAATAATACTTGTTTTATCTTTTCTGTTTTCTTTCTCCTTACCTTTCTTCCTTTCTCCTCCTTTACACTTTATCTTTTCAACCTGGATTTTTCCTCAGAGCACGTGTCTACATGACAATACATACTATAAACGTATGTTTGTGTAATATGCATATTGGTTCCCCCCACCCCCCAATGTAAATTCCGTGGCAACAGTGATGTTTCTAAAAGTTGTATTTTCAGGATCTAGAACAGTGACAGAGTAGGTGCTTTTAAAATTTTCTTGAATAATGAATGCGATATTTGGACGATAATCACTAAACCCAACATACTTATTTTCTTATTTTATTCATCAAACTTTATATGAAGATGAAAGATTCCCTGACAGAAATGAGCCATTGATCTAGTGAGACATATATTTGTATGTATATTCTCTCTCTTAGTAACTATTAATATGTTTCAGATCTTTTGTAGTGTGTATTTTATCTACAGTGTAATTTTTAAAAAATGCTTTTCTATTACTAATATATGTAGATCAGTAATTGAACAGACTAATGTGTTATTTTATATTTCATATATTTGCACAGTATCTTATGAACAGATTTAAACCTAATGATTTTACTCATTGATACTTGTGTGGGATTTACTATCCAGTCCAGTGCTTATTTGCCAAGAGCTGTTCAGCCTATGCTTGAAACCATTCTAATGAAGGAGAACCCTCAGGCAGTTTATTCTGCCTTTGGGAGGCCTCTGATTATTTTAAAAAAAAAAAGCCTATCTCTATTTTAAGCCAAAACCTGTTTGGCTGCTTCTGCTTACTGGCTTTAGTTACATTCCTTGGAGGATATATTGGACAAATGTAATCCTTTTTCCTTGTGATAACTTTTCAATTATTTGAAGACTTACCAAGTTCTCTCTGACATTTCAGTTCTCTAGGCTGAGAATCCCTAGAAAACCATCTAATAATGATATCCATTTACCATCTTGGTCATTTTCTAAGAATCTGTTTGAGTTTGTTTATGCATTTATAAAGGTGGAACCTAGAACTGAAAGCACTAACACTCTACTGCATAGGAGAGCAGCACTCTTTCCTGTCTAGTTCTCAGTTTTCTGTTTTATTGCATGTTTATAATTTATGTTTCCCCCCCAGCCATTTCACACTTTCATTTCCTTTAACTTAACCGTTTACTAAAGTGCTTAAGTTTTCACCTTCTATTTGCCTTCTACAAATGCTATTGTTGAGTTAGATCTCATGCCTTATTTTGTAGTTTTTGCTTTTGTTTGTATTCTGCTCCCTCACCAGCCCCAACACACACACAGAAGAGTAATTGCAGTTGGAGCACTTGGTGATCATAATCATACTTTATTGGCAGATTTTGTTGTTTGTGGGAGCTAAGAAATACTTTTCAAAACTTGATTCTTTTTTTCCCCGATCTATAAGGCAATTTCAGGTCTGCTTTTTCTTTCACACATTTTCAGGATGCTAGCAGTATATAGCAGGGGTAAAGAAAAGTCTAGCTCTGACAAGATATAGATCATTCAAATTACAAACCTTTTATCAGCAGTGGCAACTGGTAAAGTACCTCGAACAATCTTGCTAGCCATGGAGATAATTTTTAAAAATAATTTGCTATATGAATATAGTTTTTTTAATTAGTTAATTTGAATGTTTATTTAATTGACTTTGCATAACATCATCACTAGAAGTTCAGATAATATAACATTTAAGACAAATAGAAAAGAGAACATAGGTTTTGCCTTTCTGTTCCTGATACATAACATTTCAGTATATTATTAAATTTCTGTGGTCCATATTTTTTACTCAGCTTTTTGTTTTCAAAAATATTGAAGTAAAAATGGAACTTCTTGTAGGACTTAAGAAAAATTGTTTCCCAAATGCAAATTCAGTTGTTTTGCCATTAAATGTGAAATTATAACCCCTGCTTCTATATAATTTGAACTTTTAACAAATGTTAAAAAGTCATCTGCCTTTCAAATTATTTCAAGGATTTAGAACTGTATATGGTAGTATATTTGTTGTGGCTAATCGTTTTTTATTCAGTTCAGATTGCTTCTACAGAAGATGTTGAGCAGAGATTCTTCTTTAATTCTGTCTTGCTGTTTTATCCAACTGTGGTTTATAGACCATAATAATTATAAAAATCATGAAAGCCTTCCTCTAGATTTTTAGCTGCTAACATTTTAATTCAGTTTTAAAATGTCCTATTTAAAAAATAATGGTGCAAAAATGAAATAGATTTGGTATTTCGTTGAGAGAATTGAAAAATGACAGGTAAGTTACTGGAAAAACCACTAATAAGTTAAAAATTCACCACAACAATCAAACCAATATTAAATTACAGCATTTAGACTCAGTGTAGACTGAATTTATATACAGCAGTTGCAATAAAACATAATAATATTATTATGTATCATAATGATTTCCAGTAAATTGAAATATGTTTAGCTTGATGTCTAGTTTGGTTGATGTCTGGTTGATTTGGTTGATAGGGAGTGACTGTAACTCTAGGTGTTTAAAAAGTAAATTGGAAGTCAGGTTTCTGGCACCTCGTTGTAAGAGGCAGTCTAGTGTGGTGGTTAAGAATGTGGACTTTGGAGTATGAGATTTAGTTTTAAATCTTGATTCATTTCCTTGCTGTGTAGTCTTGGGAAGTCTACTTAGCTTTTCTCTGAACCTCAGTTTCTTTATCAGTAAAGTGAGAGCCCAATATAGTATGTAAAATTAGAAGTGCAGTTCATGGCACAAACTAGGTGTTGAGTAAGTGTTAGTAATTGTTGAGTAAGTGTTAGTAATTAACTACTGCTATTATTTTATTGTTAGTTACTCTAACTTGTAAAATCTTAATAATTTTAGCTTAGTTATAAACAATTATATCATTCTTTTGAATTGGATGAAAATAGTTCAGACATCAAAAATTTCCCGTCCTGACATTGTTAATTGAAATAAACCAGGCACAGAAAGATTAATGCTGTATGTTACCACTCATATATGGGAGCTAAATAAGTTGGTCTCATATAAGTAGAAAGTAGAATAGTGGTTACCAAATGCTGGGAAGGGTGGTAGGGAGATAGGGAGAGGTTGGTTAACAGATACAAAATTACGCTGGATTGGATGAGTAAGTTCTAGTGTTGTTTAACACTGTAGGGTAACTACAGTTAATTTATTATATATTTTCAGATAGCTAGAAGAGAAGATTTTGAATGTTCCCAACACAAAGAAATAAATGTTTTAGGTGATAGATAGGCTAATTACCCTGGTTGTTCATTACACATTGCATACAGGTATCAAAATATCACATTGTACTCTATGAATACATACAATTATTATGTGGTTTTTTTTTTTTAAAAACTTTCCCTTCTTACCCTGTCCCTCCTTTACTTAGTTCATACTATCATCCTGTCCAGATAGCCGTAGTTTATTTATCCTTCCACATATATATAAACCAGATTTCTCTCTTCTCCCCCAACACAAATGGCAAATACTATACAAACCTTTTCTTTGTCTTGCATTTTAAATTTAATGAATTGATATGAAGATTTCTTTAGGGGTTGAAAACTTCATTACCTGTCTTTTTATCTTTTTGCTACATGTCATTCTTTTGTGTGGATTTTAATACAGTTTATTTTTCCAGTTCTCTCTAAATGGACATGTGCACATTTTTGATTTTACAATCAATATGACAATGAATAACTTGTACACATGTCATTTTGAACACGTGAGTATATGTGTAGAATAAATTCGTAGATGTAAATTGCATTTGTGACCTTGATACTACCAGAGTATTCTATCAGCTACCAGTTTACTCACACCAGCTCATGTTTAGAATTGCGTTTTCATTAGTCTTGCCACCAGAATACATTTTCATATTTATTGGATTTTGCCAACCTGATAACTGAAAAATATTTCAGTGTAACTTAAATTTGTATTTCTCTTATGGGTGAGGTTGAATTTTTACTCATTTAAGAGTCATTTTTATTTATTTTATGTTTTAGCATCTATTCATATCCTTTGTCTTTTTTTCTCTTATAATGTTAGTCTCGGTAAAAACACTGTGGGTTAGGGGAATTAGCCTTTTTGTGATGAGATAAACTGAGCTTGTTTTTCATTGGTTGACTCTTCATTCTGAGTTTTTTTTTTTGTTCTGTTTTTTATAATCACATTACTTTTTTGATAATATGGATTTTGTGTCTTCCTTACTCCAGGGTTAAATAAATTGTGTTTTCCTCTGACATGTTTCCAAGTTTATTTTGTAAAAGGCAACTGCCAAGTTGTCTCAATACATTTTCTTTTTTTTTTGAGATAGGGTTCTTACTTTGTCACCCAGACTGGAATGCAGTGACGTGATCCCAAATCACTGCAGCTTTGAACTTCTGGGCTCAGATGATTCTTCTCCCTCAGCCTCCCGAGTAGCTGGGACTACAGGCACACACTACCATGCCTAATTTTTTTTTTTTTTTTTTTTTTTTTTGGTAGAGACTGGGTTTCGCCATTTTGCCCAGACTGGTCTTGAACTCCTGGGCTCAAGCGATCTGCCCGCCTAGGTCTCCCAAGGTGCTGTCATTACAGGACTGATTCACTGTGCCTGGCCTCAATACTGTTTATTGCATAATTTATCTCTTCTTAGTTGGTTTGGATGCCACTTTTATAAAATCTGAATTCCTAGTACATTTGGATCCATTTCTAGACTTTCTTTTTTTGCTGTTTAAACTAATATACTGATGGGTATGTTTTTAAGAAATAAAATGGCTACACATAGCATTAAGGAGTGTTAGTATAAAGAGAACTTAAATTTCTTCAAGGTCCTCTGTGACCCGGGTGCTTTTTACATGTATTAACTCACTTAACTATTATTCTCACTAATTCAGTTTGTAACTGGAATTTGTAGAATGTGCAGTTGGCTAAATTTTCTTCAACATTGGTTTTTTTCTTTAGCTGTGATGCAGATCCATCCGCCCTAGCAAAATATGTTCTGGCTTTGGTAAAGAAAGACAAAAGTGAAAAAGAGTTAAAGGCATTATGTATTGATCAGCTGGATGTATTTCTTCAGAAAGGTAAGATCTTTGGTTTAAAAATACTACTATATTTTAAAAAGTTATTTAAGGCTTGGCATGGTGGCTCACGCCTGTAATCCTAGCACTTTGGGAGGCTGAGGTGGGTGGATCACCTGAGGTCAGGAGTTCAAGACCAGCCGGGCAAACATGGTGAAACCCTGTCTCTACATAAAATATAAAAATTAGCCGGGCATGATGGTGGGTGCCTGTAATCCCGGCTACTCGGGAGGCTGAGGCAGGAGAATTGCTTGAACCTGGGAGGCAGAGGTTGCTGTGAGCTGAGATCGCGCTACTGCACTCCAGCCTGGGCGACAAAGTGAGACTCATCTCAAAAAAAATAAATAAAGTTATTTAAAATAAGTTTATCCACAGAATATTAAAGGAACTCGGTAAGAAGCCCTAATTTTAACAAAGTTAAATAAACAATATTATTATTGAGTATATCCATAGCTTATTTAAAATGGATGCCACCTCTCAGTAATGTCCATGTGCTTATTCTTAAAGCATGTTGATATTTTTTCTTACATAGATTAAAAGATTAAGAAAATGACTGCCTATTTATTTAAAGCCAGTACTGCTTAGGAAACTGCTTTGAATCTTACCTAGCGCATTGCTTTTCAGCTTTTTGTACCTTGCCACATCTAGATTATGATAGTGTTTGTGTTTGCAACACTGAGTAGGCGATGTGGAGAAGACTTAGTCATGGCTGGAGGTGACTAGCCCAGAGGGCTGCGACCATTCCAGTCCCTACCGTCTTGAAAATAGCATGAATCAGTATTGCCTCAGGACTTGTGCCATGGCACACTGGTTGGGAAGCTGTTGATATTAGGATATTTTCTTTCTTTTTACTTTTTTTTTTTTGAGACGGAGTCTTGCTCTGTCACCCAGGCGGGAGTGCAATGGCGTGATCTTGAGTGCAGTGGCGCGATCTCGGCTCACTGCAGTCTCTGCCTCCTGGGTTCAAGTGATTCTCCTGCCTCAGCCTCCCTAGTATCTGGAATTACAGGCACCTGCCATCATGCCTGGCTAATTTTTGTGGAGACAGGGCTGGCGAGGCTGGTTTTGAACTCCTGACCTCAGGTGATCCACCTGCCTTGGCCTCCCAAAGTGCTGGGATTACAGACGTAAGCCACCACGCCTGGCCAGTGCTAGTATATTTTCTAGTTTATAAAAGTCAAGGTATGTTTCATCATATTAGAGATAAGAGATGTGGAAGCGGGGAATTAATCTTAACAAATGTGTTTTAATCTATGGTGTTTGGTTTTATTTTTAGAGACACAGATATTTGTGGAAAAACTTTTTGATGCTGTGAATACAAAGAGTTACCTACCTCCTCCAGAGCAGCCATCATCAGGAAGCCTGAAGGTAGAATTTTTTCCACACCAAGAAAAAGATATAAAGAAGGAAGAGGTAACGATTTGTGTTAATACCTTACAGGTTATTTAAACACATAAGAGGAATAACCAAACTGAGTTTTTATCTTCTATATCTTTGTGTTGGAGTCCTCAGGACCACTCCCAGTTTAAATGATTTTTCTAGGAGGACTCATAGGACTCTGCATATAATTGTGCTTATGGCCCTGGCTTATTTCAGCAAAAGGATATAAAGCAAAGTCAGCAAATGGAAAAGGTGTATGAGGCCAAGTCCAGTGGAAAACAAGCACAAGCTTACAAAGTCCTCAGAGTTGCACAGGATGTGCTTAATTCCCCTAGCAGTGAACTGTAACAACACATGGGAATTAGGCAAGCTCCTTAGAAACTCTGCCCTGCGTTCTTATTTGGAACTGGTCACATAGGCACCGCCTACCTAGTATGTACCAAAATTCCAGACTCCTGGGAGGAAGGCAGATGTTCAGTGTAGACCATATTGTTTCATAACTAATTCAGGCATAGTGAACCATTCCTTATCAGGGGGTAATGGGAACCCTCGAGAAATCAAAGTGCCCAGGAGCCAGCCTTACAAGCATGCTGGCTTTCTAAGGTTAGTATTGTCAGGCCTGCTTTTACTCTGCACAATATCTTACAGACATAGAGTCTTAATATCTGTTCTATGAAAATAATTAGGTTGACAATTGGTCTGTTTGCTTTTGTCATACATGTATTTAGTAGGGGACTGTTTTTAAGGTAGTAAAACACAAGGACCTTCACAAGACAGTGGATATGACTTCATACTTCAAGAGGTCCCAAAATTTTTGTGTGTATTTTACAACCTTCTCTCTTCACCCTTAGTTACTAGTCATATAATAATTTATATCTTTTCAATTTGATGTTAAAAGATTATAATTTGGCCAGGGTGAGCGTGGTGGCTCATGCCTGTAATCCCAGCACTCTGGGAGGCTGAGGCAGGAGGCTCACTTGAGCCCAGGAGTTTGAGACCAGTCTGGGTTATATAGTGAGACCTCATCTCTTATGAAAAAAATTTTAAAATTAGCCAGGTGTGATGGGGTGGTGCATGCTTGTAGTCCCAACTACTTGAGGGGCTGAGGTGGGAGAACTGCTTGAGCCCCAGAGCCTGAGGGTGCAGATCAAAGCATTACACTGCAGCCTAGGCAACTGAGCAAGACCCTGTCTGGAAAAAAAAAACAAACAAACTATAATTTTAGTGAAAATAATTGTTGGCAGTCAAGCCATTATGTTTCTGCATTTAGCCCTAGCTTTAGGTCACACATATCTTGGTTAAAATTTTGGTTCTACAAATCACTGGTTTGTGACCTTGAAAACATTACTTTTCTGAGCCTCATTTTACTCAGCTGCGAAATGGAAATATTAAAGGTTCTTGTGAGGAATAAGTAAAATAATGTATATAAAGCACCAATCAAGTGCTTTATATACATTATTTTACTTTTCACATGTGGCACATGGTAGGTTCTCAGTAAATGGTAGCTGCTGTCATTTTTGAGATTGTAAGAGATGTTGATGTTGTGACCTTTTTTTCTCCTTTTATGCTTTTTCCAGATTACATATAAATAATACATTTTATTATGCAATAAAATATATATTATAATATGTAATCTCAAATATATTTATATCTCTATCTGAATATATTTACACACATGTATATTTGTATATTTTCATATACACATACCCACATGTAACATCCCAATCAGTTTTATCTGCCTGGGAAGACCAGAAATGTAATTTATAACTGAACCTATTTCATACCTAACAGTATAAGGGTTCTGTTAGGAAGAAAGGGACGGTGTATATTGTGTTGGCAATTGCTTATGCAACATAGAGATATGCAATGGTTTATTCAAGTTTTGCCTACTGGTGGAACTTTGGTTTGGTTTCAGATTTTTGCTGTGAAAAATTATACTTTGGCTGGGCACTGTGGCTCTCGCCTGTAATTCCAGCACTTTGGGAGGCTGAGGCGGGTGGATCACCTTAGGTCAGGAGTTCAAGACCAGCTTGGCCAATATGGTGAAACCCTGTCGCTACTAAAAACAAAAATTAGCCAGGCATGGTGGCAGGTGCCTGTAATCCCAGTTACTCGAGAAGCTGAGACAGGAGAATCGCTTGAACCTGGGAGGCAGAGGTTGTAGTGAGCTGAGACCATGCCATTGCACTCCAGCCTGTGTGACAAGAGCTAAACTCCGTCTCAAAAAAAAAATATATATATATAATATATATAAATATGAATAATATATATTATTTATTTTTAAAATATAAATATATATTTATATGATATATATAAATATATATTTATATATATCATATAAATATATAAAAATATAAATATATAGTATATAAAAAATGTATAAAATATATATAATATATATATTATATGTATGCTTTAATTCTCAGAAAATCTTGAGTAAATCACAGTCCCTTGGCTTGAGTAGTCTTCCCCTAAATCGAGTTAGTAGCAAAGCCTTAGTCTTATTATCTATTGATGTAATAATACTTCCTGTTTTTTCAACCAATTGTGGGAGATACTTATCCCTGATCTTTCAGAATTGTTGAAATGCCAGATGGCAATCTACGTTTAAAATGCTGTGGCTATACTAAAAGTTTGCAGATGGGCATGTACTGTGGAATATGGTGATCTGTTAGATAACTCGCAAAAGTGCATTGAGGAAATAGAAGGGAAAGAGTGCATCAGAAGGGTCGTATTAGTACCCGGTTTTTTGTCTGGTCTGGGAGGAGAGCTGGAATAGGTGGAAAGAGTACGAAAGTACTTGAATTTAAAAAGGCAAACTGTTGAAAGAATGCTTTAAAGATTATTTCTCCTAGTTTGGTCTGTTAATAGGATTTCCATTTGATTTCTCATCTAAAGTGGCACACTTTTTTTTGTTTGTTTTTTGAGACGGAGTCTTAGTCTATTGCCCAGGCTGGAGTGTCGTGGCCCCATAGTGGCTCACTGCAACCTCTGCCTCCTGGGTTCAAGCAATTCTCCTCTCTCAGCCTCCCAAGTATCCCTCCTGTAATCCCCTTTTGGGATTACAGGCGCGTGCCACCATGCCCAGCTAATTTTTGTATTTTTAGTAGAGATGATATTTCAGCGTGTTGGCCAGGCTGGTCTTAAACTGCTGACCTCAAGTGATCCACCCACCTCTGCCTTTAAAAGTGCTGGGATTATAGGTGTGAGCCACTGTGCCCAGCATAAAGTGGTACATTCTGACAGTCAGAAGCCCTTATCAAAAGGATGCTGGAACAGCTGGCATAAACTGGGACATGTGTACCCTGTGCGTAGACTACCTGCATGAGAATATCTTATGGTTCTCAGTAACACAAAATCTTGAGCCCTATCTTATTTATAGAAGCCACTTGCACGATATTTCCTGAATTTGTTCAACCTCTAAGTCCCTTTTTCTAATTACCTAGAAAAACAGTGATTCCTGTCGTTCCTGTTGTTGAGGACCATTATTCTCAACAATATAGTCTGGAGAAAGTAGCACTGAGAATATTTTCCAAGGTTGCTTTCTAGTAGCTATATAATGTGAATGGAGGCACCTTGTAGGAAACAGAAATATATAGCTGTCATGCTGCTGTGAGAAACTGGAGAACTATTTCACCTTATATATTGTTTTCCCAGATATATATATATAAAATATTATATATTATTATATATAGTAATATATATATATAAAATATTATATATTATTATATATAGTAATATATAATATATAAATATATAAATAGACTATATAAATATATATAGTAATATATAATATATAAATATACTATATAAATATATATAGTAATATATAAATATATTATATAAATATATATAGTAATATATAAATATATTATATAAATATATATAGTAATATATATAAATAAGTATATTTATACATATTATATATATTTGTATATTTATACATATTATATATATTTATATATAATATATAATATATATTTATATTTTATTTATATATAGTATATAATATATATTATATATATTTATATATAATATATATTATATATTTATATATTTTATTTATATATAATATATATTTTATATTTATATATATTTATTTATATTTTTATATATTTATATATAAATATATAAATACATTAGAACTCACCAAGTCATAAATACATACACACATAAACATATACATATTTATATATATTTATATATTTTTATATATTTTATATATTTATATAAAAATTTATATAAATATATAATACATAAAATATATAATATATAAGATATATCTTATATATTATATAAAATATGTAATATATAAGATATATCTTATATATTATATAAAATATGTAATATATAAGATATATCTTATATATTATATAAAATATGTAATATATAAGATATATCTTATATATTATATAAAATATGTAATATATAAGATATATCTTATATATTATATAAAATATGTAATATATAAGATATATCTTATATATTATATAAAATATGTAATATATAAGATATATTTTATATAGCATATAAAATATTATAAATATATTTATATTTATATAATATATAATATATTTATATAAAATATTTATTATAAATATATATCATATAATTATAATATATATCATATAATTATATATAATATAAAATATATAATAAATTACAATATGATACATAAATATATATAATATGTAAATATATATTTATATATATAAACATGTATATGTTTGTGTGTGTGTATGTATTTATGACTTGGTGAGTTCTAATGTATTCTCCTATATTCCTTGATGTGTTTGGTACCACACCAAGTCCACGAAACCAAAACATGAATATATGTTAGACTTTTGAAAGAGGAATAAAATTGGATTTCCATTAATTATGTTAAATGAGCATACTTGCTTAAAATGTTTTCTCACCAATGTAATCATTTCATTATAGTTAAATGATTATACTTAGTAGAGAAATTTACTTTGTTTGGATAATTTTAGAAGATGACAATTTTGCTTCTACGTTATATAAACTAATTTTAATGTTAATTAAATTTTATTTAATGTTAATTAAATGTTAATGTTAATAAAGTCATTAAAGCAGTAATGTGTCTAAGGCTTTTTTTTGTTTGTTTGTTTGTTTTGAGGCAGAGCCTCACTCTGTCGCCCAGGCTGGAGTGTGCACTGGCGCGATCTCAGCTCACTGCAACCTCTGCCTGCCAGGTTCAAGCGATTCTCTTTCCTCAGCCTCCAGAGTAGCTGGGATTACAGGCCCCTGCCACTGTGCCCAGCTAATCTTTGTATTTTTAGTAGAGACAGGGTTTCACCATGTTGGCCAGGCTGGTGTCGAACTTCCGACTTCGTGAACCACCCGCCTCAGCCTCCCAAAGTGCTGGCATTACAGGCATGAACCACTGTGCCCAGCCCTATCTAAGGCTATTTAACAGTGGAATAATTACTAAACTTGTACACTTTTTTTTTTTTTTTTAATCAGATCACTAAGGAGGAAGAGCGAGAGAAGAAGTTTTCTAGAAGGCTAAATCACAGTCCTCCCCAGTCAAGCTCCCGATACAGGGAAAATAGGTGAGCAGTTCATTGAACCATACTCAGTGTTTCGATGTAAGTTATCTTTTATACAAATGTTTAGACTTGGGTTATCTTTTACGCAGAGGCAAGTAATATCTACTCTTTTATTGGTCTAGGAAAATATAACTAGGTCCGTTTCTACCATGAAAATCTAGGTCAGATTTGTAGATCTTGGGAGTGAGTTTAGAACAGTGCTTGACATATATTAGCTGCTTATCTTTTTATTCCTAACTTCAGATTCCAGTAGAATCTTAATGTGTGGGTGTTTTTTTTTTGCCTGCTGTTTCCATTTAGTGTGATTAAATTGTTTTTCTCATTCAGGCTTCAAAAGCACTTAGAATACAATGCATGTGATACATGTCTGTAAGTGAGATTATATGTACGGGATAGTATGTTCTATATGTACTCTAAGTCTTATATACAGATGCCTTTATCTACAGATGCCTAATTGTATAGTTGCCAATGTGTAATAAGACTAAGGGTTAAGGCTTTAAAAAGATTGTTTTTCATTTAAAAGGGATTTAAAGTACTGAATATTAAGCTCAGTTTTTTCAGTTGTCTGATGGTAGGATAGAAAGTTAAGTTACAAGAATTAAATGTAACTTTTGCATTTAATTAGCTTTTTCCTGTGTCACTTAAAAATTATTTGTATTAAAGTGATCACATATTTCTTTAGAAGCCGTGATGAGAGGAAAAAAGATGATCGTTCTCGCAAAAGAGATTATGATCGAAACCCTCCTCGAAGAGATTCATACAGAGACCGGTACAATAGAAGACGAGGGCGGAGTCGCAGTTATAGCAGGAGTCGAAGTCGAAGTTGGAGTAAAGAGAGGCTTCGTGAGAGGGACAGAGATAGAAGCAGGACTAGAAGCAGAAGCAGAACACGAAGCAGGGGTAAATAATATATTTTGGTTATCTTTTTATGAAAAACTCCATGTTTAAATGTTTTTAAAAATTGCTTAACATTTTGTCAGTGTTGTCTTCATTTTTTTCTATTATGATGTATTCTGTGGTCCAAGAGAATGCTTTTTAAAAATTCCTTTAAAAGTTTTATTCCTTGCAAATTAAAATCACAGTTACCACTACACATTCAACAGGATAGCCACGATGATACAGACTGATTCTATTCCATGTTGGTGAGAAAGTAGATAAGCTGAAACTCTTTGGAAAACATTTTGGCAGTATGTAAAAATATTAAAACTACACTTAGCATATGGGTCCGCTATTCTACTTCTTACTGTTTACCTGGAAGAAATGAAAGTGTATGTCCACACAGGTGTTTGTTCACAAAGGTTCATAGCAGACTTATTTGTAAGAGCCAGATCTAGAAACAGCCTAAATGTCCATCAAGAGGTGAATGTATAAACATGTTGTGGTATATCCATACCATAACATGGATAAAAAGAAAAGAACTATTGATACATGCAACAAAATGGATGAATCTCAGTATAATTATGCTGAGTGAAAGAAGCAGGACAATACATATGTATGTTAAAAAATTTTTTTTCTTAATCTTTGTTTTTGTGACAGAGTATTGCTCTGTCGCCCAGGCTGGAGTGCAGTGGTGCTGTTTCAGCTCATTGCAACCTCCGCCTCCTGAGTTCAAGCGATGATCATGCCTCAGCCTCCCAAGTAGCTGGGATTACAGGCAAGTGCCACCATGCTCGGCTAATTTTTGTATTTTTGGTAGAGTCACGTTGGGGGTTTCACCAGGTTGGCCAGACTGGTCTCGAATTCCTGACCTCAGGTGATCCACCCGCCTCAGCCTCCCAAAGTGCTGGGATTATAGGCCTGAGCCACTGTGCCCAGACTAGTTTTTAAAAATGCAAACTAATCTGTGATGACAGAGAGCAAAGCCAGTCGTTGCCTGAAATGGAGTAAAGGAGGGATGATAGATTACAGATTACAAAGGGGCATGAGGATTCTTTTGGAAGTGATGAATATGTACATCATTTATTTGTGGTATTGGTTTCAGAGGTGTTATATCTTGATTAAAACTTATACAGTTTAAATATGTTCAGTTTATTATATATCAGTTATACTTCAAAACTATTTTTAAAAGTTTAAAAAGTTTTATTTCAGATATATATTTTTGCAAGAGCGTGTCATTCCCAACATGTATAATTTTCTTCTAGTACATGTTATTGAAAGTAAGATGTTGTCGTAAAACACCTAAAACACTTTTCAGTAAAGCACCTTTTCTCAAACTTTTTTTGCTACTCTTAATACTATTTATGGCCTTTGTATAAGCCCTGTATTCTGTTACTCTTTTCTTAGAAATTTTCCCCTGCTGTGATCTAGGTATACAAGGCTTCATGGAATGTTACTTCACTTAACTAATCTCTTTAATTTCTTTTCTGTTTCCTGAGGACCATATGTATAGTCTAGTTAATTTCTTTGTGCATGTTTAATATGAACTCTTTCTGGGTCATCCGTTCTTATCTTAATATAACAGCCATTGTAGTAACTTTAAATGGATGACTACAAAATGTTCATCACAGGAAAAATAACCATACTTTATTGCATGTTTTGTTTTGTGGTCTGTAATTATGCATACCAAGATTGTGATGAAGAAAATATAAAATTCCTTTTTTCTATAAACAAAACTCTAAGGAAAAACATTAAATATGGCAGCATTACCTGGTTTTGTAGTTTGGGTTATATTAAAAAGAAATCGCTTACCTTTTAACATTGTATATTAATTGAATATTTTTTAAAAGAAAATGATTATTATGCAAAATTTAAAATTTTTTTTCTATGTTTATAAAAATATCACTATTTCTTAGATCTGGGACTTTTTTTTTTTTAATACAGTGTAGTTTTATATGTCATTTATCTTTCGTTGCAGAAAGGGATCTGGTAAAACCTAAATATGACCTGGATAGAACAGATCCATTAGAAAATAATTATACTCCAGTCTCTTCGGTACCTAGTATTTCATCTGGCCACTACCCTGTACCTACTTTGAGCAGCACTATTACAGTAATTGCTCCTACTCATCATGGAAACAACACTACCGAAAGTTGGTCTGAATTTCATGAAGACCAAGTGGACCATAACTCTTACGTAAGACCACCCATGCCAAAGAAACGGTGTAGAGACTATGATGGTAAGTCTTTCAGCTGTTTGATAAAGTATTTAATTAATATTTCCAGCTGCCTAAATTCTGTGTTTATGTTGTACATAGTTATTCAAAGACTTACCTCTGAAAAGTGGGAAATTAGCCTTAGTCACTTTTTGAATTCCTCAATATGATTGAAACATTTATTAGTTGCCACTAATTTGATTATCAATTTAAAGGTAGTATTTATTTGCAAGTAAGTCTTAATAAATTGTGGGAGTTTACCAAATGAGTAAATATCTACTGAGTTTTTATCAGGGAATCTGCTACTGAAACATTATTGACAAAACTCATTTCTTTAGAATGAGTGATTATTGGACTGTAAATAGAAATGTATCTAGAAATGTAAATGTCACCTTTGTAAGAATTTTATTAAAGAATTAAAGACTTTTGGCTGGGCGCAGCGGCTCACGCCTGTAATCCCAGCACTTTAGGAGGTTGAGGTGGGTGGATCATGAGGTCAGGAGATCTAGACCATCCTGGCTAACATGGTATGCAACCCCGTCTCTACTAAAAATACAACAAATTAGCTGGGCGTGGTGGCTGGCGCCTGTAGTCCCAGCTACTCGGGAGGCTGAGGCAGGAGAAGGCGTGAAACCGGGAGGTGGAGCTTGCAGTAAGCCAAGATCGCACCACTGCACTCTAGCCCGGGTGACAGAGCGAGACTCCGTCTCAAAAAAAATAAAAATAAAAAAATAAAAAGAATTGAAGACTTTTAAGGATTTACCGTAAAAGATTTATAAGTAGTATTAAAGCCATCATTGCAATTTTTTTTAGTTTTAAGAGATTTAAATGAAGGACATTTCTAAAGACAAAAATATGACAAAAATTATATTTAAGTCTCATCTCGTTAGGTTATTTTCATTTGTGTGTTTTTTTTGTTTTTTTAGTATGTATACGTTAGTTTAACATTGCTCTAAAGTAATGCCTGAGCCTGGGAAATTTATAAAGAAAAGAGGTGTCTTTGGCTCATGGTTCTGCAGACTGTACAAAAAGTGTAGTGCCAGCATCTGCATCTGGTGAAGGCCTCAGGAAGTTTACAATCATGGTAGAAGGCGAAGGGAGAGCAACTAAAAGGGAGCAAGAGTGGGGTTGGTGGTGGGGGAGGTGCCATGCTCTTTTAAACAACCAGCTCCTGTGAACTAATAGAGGGCGAACTCACTTGTTACCTTGGGAGGGCACCAAGCTATTCATGAAGGATCTACCCCCATGACCCTAACACCTCCTACCAGGCCCCACCTCCAACATCGTTTGTCACATTTCTCTCTTTTGCCTCTTCTTCTTCTTTTTTTTTTTTTTTTTTTTTTTTTTGAGATGGAGTCTCCCCCTATACCCCAGGCTGGAGTGCAATGACACAGTCTCTGCTCAGTGCAACCACTGCCTCCCGGGTTCTAGCGATTCTCCTGCCTCAGCCTCCCTAATAGCTGGGCTTATGGGCGCCAGCCACCACGTCCAGCTAATCTTTGTATTTTTAGTAGAGATGGGGTTTCACCATGTTCGTCAGGCTGGTCTCGAACTCCTGACCTCGGGTGATCCACCTGCCTCAGCCTCCCAAAGTGCTGGGATTACAGGCCTGAGCCACCACGTCCAGCCAGATTGTCACATTTCAACATGAGATTTGGAGAGGATAAACATCCTAACTATATCAGTATGTTAAATATACTATCACTTTACAAGTATTTATATTACTGGAGAAGATCAGGTAGCTCTTGGGAAATGGTTAATTATACTTTTGTCCAATATTAAAAATATTCATATTTTTAAATATTTTACTTTTGCTAACTTAGAGAAAATATATATTTCCAGTGCTTTTGACATTTGTTTCTAACTATTCCTTCCTCATAGAAAAGGGTTTTTGTATGAGAGGAGACATGTGTCCTTTTGATCATGGAAGTGATCCAGTAGTTGTAGAAGATGTGAATCTTCCTGGTATGCTGCCTTTCCCAGCACAGCCTCCTGTTGTTGAAGGACCACCTCCTCCTGGACTCCCCCCACCTCCACCAATTCTTACACCCCCACCTGTGAATCTCAGGCCCCCAGTACCACCGCCAGGTCCATTGCCACCCAGTCTCCCACCTGTTACAGGTAAGTAAATCTGTTTGTTTCCCTGTATTTATCTAGCCATTCTTAGTCTATTTTTAAAACTTAATAGATTCTTAAATTAAAAGTATCTAAAGGAATCCCAAAAATGCCTGATAGAAATTAATAGCAGTATACTTCCATTTGGAATACACCTCCACTTTGTAGCCTGTGCCAAGCCAGTTACTATGGTTTGGAGTGACCCTGTGAATTAAGTATATCACTGGTAAAACCCAGCTGCCTGCAGGCCTTCATAGCTTAAGGCAAACCTGCTTTGGAATGTATTAAAAGGATATTTTACCCTGGATATCTAATTCAGTTGTAAGGGCTTGGTGTTTGTAGATATTATAGTTTGATAAATGAGAAGATTATGTTCGGATGTGCAATAACTTGTTTTATTTGTTTGCTTTCAGATGATATTTCTTATTCTTTGGTTTTGACAGGACCACCACCTCCACTTCCTCCTTTGCAGCCATCTGGCATGGATGCTCCTCCAAACTCTGCAACCAGTTCTGTTCCTACTGTAGTAACAACTGGCATTCATCACCAGCCTCCTCCTGCTCCACCCTCTCTTTTTACTGCAGGTGCAGTTTTGGCCCTTTTTATATTCGTAATGTAACACAGTTTTAGATGAAGAATTTTAAAATGTCTAGAGAGAATTGCTCTGTGAGGACTACTTTTCTCACTAAAATTATGTAGCCGTGGTGAATGAACATTAAATAAGCCCTCAGTTTTGAATGTTTTCAAAAAAACATTTTCTTTTTAATAACTTTTTTAAATAAAGTTATTTTCTTTTTGATACATATAGAGCATGTTATATGTTAATATGTTATATTGTTTACTTTTTCTCTTATCAATATTAAAAAATTACCAAGTGGAGTTTTATAATTGTTTTTTAATTACAGTTTTTGTATTACCAGATACATATGACACAGATGGCTACAATCCTGAAGCCCCAAGCATAACAAACACTTCCAGACCTATGTATAGACACAGAGTGCATGCACAAAGGCCCAACTTGATAGGACTAACATCAGGGGATATGGATTTGCCACCCAGAGGTACTATAATTAATCTTTCCTTCCTGTCATTTTCATAATATAAACAGTGGGAAAACATTTATAAAGAACAGTTGGTCTTGCCTTTATTGGGGTTGGATAAGGAATGGTGATTTATTTTATTTCATTTTATTTTTGGAGACAGAGTCTCACTCTGTGGCCTAGGCTGGAGTGCAGTAGCGTGATCTCAGCTCACTCTAACCTTTGCCTCCCCTTTAAGTGATTTTCCTGCCTCAGCCTCCTGAGTAACTGGGATCACAAGTGCCTGCCACCATGCCCAGCTAGTTTTTGTATTTTTAGTAGAGATGGGATTTCACCGTATTGGCCAGGCTGGTCTTGAACTTCTCTGACCTCAAGTGATCCGCCCGCCTTGGCTTCCCAAAGTGCTGGGATTATAGGCTTGAGCCCCCGTGACTGGCTGGGATGGCGATTTTGTTTGTTCCCTGTATCCTTCGTTCCCCCGTTGGAGAAAATATACTGTGTAATTCTGTATTTGTGGTAGAGGTGACACTTTATTATACAATTATTACACTGTCCAAGAAGGAAAGGAATTTCCTTAAAGAAGCACATTTTCTTGGGTAGCCTTTTTTTTTTTAGTAATTTGTATCATTTGTAATCTTGAGAGTAACGCTTTAATTCCTAAAGATAAGTTTATTCCTAGTTTGAAAAATCAAATAGTGCTTGGTATTTATTTTTGCTGACTCTTCACCTGTTAAAATTTGATATTAGTTTGCGTATATTTTTAAGCAAAGGATATCATGTGTTAAGAAATGACTCTTAAAATTTTCTTAGAGGAGACAGACTTTTGGATAAAATTTCTAAAAGGTACAATTTGGGTTGACATAGTCACAAGCTAGGGCAGCAAAGTGCCCTACATCTAGAGTGCCCTACATCTAGAGTGCTACACTAGAGATGTAAATGTAAACTAATAAGATTCAGAGGGAGAAAGTTCACATTAATTTGGAAAATACAGTATTTGCTACAGATCACATTTGATATAGGGAAATGAAGGATTGTCAGACATAATGGAAAATATTTCCTGGGCTAACAAAAAATATATCTTTTTCCCTAACCACCTCAATTAAGTTTTAAATCCCATTTTCTTTCCAGTCTTTTCTTGTCTTACCTAGTCAGAATTAAAAAATCATGCTTCGTCAGTTGTGAATAAAAGTCTTAGTTAGTAAGTAACAGTGCCTAATGGAGTTTGGTAAATGTGTGATTACTTACATATACTTTGTGTTTTTTCTTTTATTCATTGGAAGCTAGCTATCAGATTCTGAGCATCTTCCTTGAATGTTTAAAGGACTTTTTGTAATGAAGGTGTAAGGAATGTTTTAATTCAGATTTATATCCTCTTTTAGATCATAGGACAACATTTAATGTGGATACCCATTCCTCTTAAATTCTCTTTGAGGAATTTCAATAGCTATTATTAACAACAATAGAAAAAAGATTTTTTTTAACAGCTTGTATGTGAGGGATATATGGATTCCTTGTAATTGAAAAGTGGCCACTTAAGATTTTAACTGTTGTGTGATGTTTACCTATATCCTGAACCTGTCTCCCACCTGGCTAGTTCACAGAAACCCTCTTTTCTTCTTTGGATAACTATTTAGCATGTAGTTTGTTTTCCTCATACCAATATTCCTTGCTTTTACTGGGAACCTTGTAGTGGGAATTTCCACTTCAATTAACATTTTACTGGGGATTCCCACTAAAGTCATTTCTTTCTACCTTGCTGCTTTGGAGCTGTAAATACATGCTACTACAGGTCAATATTTATTAGATCCATTCACATGCTAGGGCAATTTCTGGTTGTGATCAAGAGAAGCAAGGGGATCAAACCCCTTGCATTTAAATCTTACCATGTACAAGTTGGATGTGTGGTAATTTCAGCTCTTAATGCATATTGTTACAGAAAGTGATCCTGTTGAGAGAGAAATGTCTGTCATACCTACTTAGAAATTTGAATGCTTTTTCTCATAGAATCATTATTGTACATAGTGATTATTTTAGTACTCTTCTTTAGATACATCATGTACCATTTTTGTTAGCTAGTTTAGGATTGATTTTTCCATTAATAACAGTGATTTTATGTACCAAACAACTGATTTAGCAACCCATCCAAATTGAGGATTGCCTTTAGTCCTTCTGTTTTCTTATCTCTTTTTAGTCCTCTCCCTCCTCCCACCATGTGTTCTCATCTATTCCCAGTTTGGATTTTAAATTTACTGTCCTGGATTGTGACAGATACATAAAAAGCTTATTTATTGTTAATTATATAATTATTACACGTTCCTAATAGCCTATAGATGGCCTTAATTTAAATTTGTCATAGACTTATTATTATGTGATAGTTAAACTTTTATGCTTACTGCTTTAAATTTTGAGGGCAATTATTCAGCAAAAGGAAAGAAATTTGGGCCCTTTGATGCATTGAAATTACTAATGTAAAAGTTACCTAGAGGCCCTGACAGTTATTTTTTGCAGAGTTCTAAGGAGGTGGAAAACTTGATGGATGATGTCATGATTGGATATAGGGAGGAGGAAGGGTTAAGTAGTTTTCCATTTCTAGTCAACAAAACCAGTGCTGACAATTTTAGGCAGAAAAACAATTCATTAAAATGATTATTGGGGAAAAATACATTACATAAAACTATTTAATATTAGATCATTTGCTGAGTATATACCAAGAGGAACTTGCTTCTGTGTTTTTAATACCCTTCTTTTAAATATATATCAATGAAAGGGATTCCGAATTAGAGAATACAGATGAGATGGAGCAAACCCATTTCAATTACTGGAGGCAAAACACATTATTCCCTCTCTTAGTGAACCTTCAGGTACGGAACATATTAAAGTAAAAAACAAAAGATGTTGGATAGGTCACAGATTCTCCAAAAGGGCTGGTGAACCAGACTTGGGAGACAGGAATAAGACCAAAAATCCTTTTGCAGAACCGGTCCTTGGAAGGTACCACTGGACAGAGAAACATCGCACGTGCTAGATACAGGATGTTTCCTAGAGATGTAGGATAAGTCAGAGTTAGACAGAGGAAGAGAATAGATACAGCCTATGTACCCTGTGATACTTTTGAGAAACTGAAGGAATTTTGTGACTGTAAGAGAAGAAGTAAGTAATGTAGAGGGAGGTAAGAGGCTAATTAAAAGCATTTACAGAATTTTAGAATAGAGGTGATAGTAGCTGGGCTAGGGTAATAATAGAAATGAAAAAAATAAGTTTAGTGGAAAGAATTGACAAAACTTGTAACTTATTTAATTTGGAGGCTTAGAATAGGGGTAATAAGTGGATGAAATTAGACACCCGTTTCCTGCCCTGGATAATTGGGCAGATGATAATATCATTCATTGAGAAGGACAGCTTTGACAGAAAGATAAATTTAGTTTTGAAAGTGTTTAACTTCTTGTCCCCCTGGGGCATTTGAGTAGAAATGTCCAGTGGGAAATAGGATATGGAAGTCTGAGGCCCATGAGAGACAGTTGACTAGAATATACAGATTTTGGAATCATGCATATGTAGAACTTTGGTCCTTAATCTTTTCTTCTGTCCCATTAGTACCAGTGGGAGGTAAAGGGAGATAGAAGGAGCCATACCAAAATCTGTAGGTCTGACTTAACATAATTTTAAAAACCTTTCTCGTGCGTTTCTAAAATCTTCCTCTCCCCATCCCCACTGAGAATCACTGAAAAAGATGAATGAAGCCATGGCAGTAGATAAGAAAGTTATTTTAGGAAGGCTATGTAAAGTGAGATGAGAAAACCCAAGTATAACTACTTGACAAATGTCAGCATCAAAGTAAATGGACAGAGAAAGGAGAACTTTATAGAAAACTTAGAAATGAAGCCCAAAAGCTGCAGACAAAAGCAAGGAGTGGGGATTCCTAAAAACCCAGGGAATATAATACCTAAGATGGAAAAGAAGATGATCAACAGCCGCAAATTCTCCTGAGAGGTCCAGTAAGAGGACTGGGATGTATTCATAGGCTTAAGCAACAGGTGAGGACATGAGTGATTTTAGCACGAGCAAGTAAAGTGAAGTAATGGGAGCAACTGCCAGTTTTCAGAGGATTAGTGAGTGGGTGTTAAGGAAGCAAAGTTAGTAAGTGTGGACATTGATTAGGAAAGGGCTGTGGGAGTATGGAGAGAGATGTTGTTGCTAAAGGGAAAACTGGTTTTACGAGAGTTTCTTTTTTTTAAAATGGAGTAATTAGAGCTGTAATGTTTGAATGTTGATGGGAGGTATCAGTGTCCTGGGAAAGGTTGAAAATGGAGGAAAGCAGCAGGAGTCTAGAGCGTTGATTTGAGTCTCTGTATGTATGGCATATGTGGGTAGTCATATATCAAATATGACTTGACTGGGATGATTGGGAAAATGGTAGTTTCATTAATAGAAATGTTTAAGAAAAATAAAAGATAGACTTAATATGAAAATAATTTGAACGTTCTGCATAGTGAGTTTTGAGATACCTGTAGGATTTCCAGAGAGAACAAAGAAGTTGAAAATTTAGAATTGAGTATATGCTCTCCTCCTGCAGGAGACCATAGCTGTGGCCATGAGAGATATTGTGCTGAAACAGATCTTCAGTTCTTTTGGTTAGTTAGGTGTTTAGAAATATGTAAAAATAGGATTTTAGACAAATCAATTTTGCCATCTATAAAAAAGGAGTTTTTAAGTTACATTTTTCTATGTGGATTAAGGTTTGCATGTTTTAAACTTTGGAGTCATTTGGGAATAACAGGTTAAATGTACTATGCTCATTACATGCCATGTAAGTAAATATAAAATGTTGAAAGTAACAGACTTTTACAGCTCTTTTACACTGTATTTTAGACTTGAATCTTTTCCTTTTTTAAAGCAAGTATGCTTTCATTACATTCATATTTTATGAGTCTATTCCATATTTAAAAGCAGCTCACTTCAATCATAACTCTAACCTTTCACTTCTCAAAGATTATTGGATTAGTGTAAAGTTTTGAATCTTTTAGATTGTGCATTTGATTTCAAAACTATGAACTTAAAGCCTCAAAGTGATTATTTTCTCATTTGTGCATTGATATATATATATATATTTGTGGTGAGGGTGATGGTAGATGGGAACAATGACTTGGGTTTTATCTACAAAGAAGTGACCTACAGAATCACATTTTAATTTGGCATGTGAGAATTGATTCTTTTTCATAGTTAATTGTGAAATGAATATGTTGAAATAAGTTTGAAAAAACCCTTAGATTACTGTATTTGAATGTACAGTAATTCCCCTTTGTCTGTGGGTGATATGTTCCAAGACTCCTCGTGTGTAAAACCACAGAGTACCAAACCCTACATATACTATGCTTTTTCCTATACAGTCACACCTGTGATAAAGTTTCACTTATAAATTAGACACAGTAAGAGCTAAACAACAATGTCTAATAATAAAATGAAATAATTATAACAATATACTATAATAAAAGTTATGTGAATGGTCCCTGTCTTTCTCTGTCAAATATCTTTTTGTATTTACCCTTCTTGGGATGATAGGGGATGATAAAATGCCTACATGATGAGATCAAGTGTTGGAGCAGGATGGTGTGAGATTTTATCACACTACTCAGAACTGCAGGCAGTTTAAAACTTAGGAATTGTTTACTATTTCTGTAGTTTTCCATAATTTTGGACTGTGGTTGACTAGAGATAACTGAAATCGTAAAAATGAAACTGGATAAGGGGGAGCTACTATACATTTATTTCTATTTCTTCTAAAAAAAAAATTATATATATATATATATATTTAGACAAAAGCCAGAAATTTTCCTGTATGAGGAAGGTATCTATGATAAATAGAAAATATTAACCTATGCTTATTTTTTTCATTTTCTTTTGTTTTAAAACAGAAAAGCCTCCCAATAAAAGCAGTATGAGGATAGTAGTGGACTCAGAATCAAGGAAAAGAACCATTGGTTCTGGAGAGCCTGGAGTTCCTACAAAGAAGACTTGGTTTGATAAGTAAGGTGGCCAGGAAAATTGAGGAGTATAATTGTGCATTGATTTTCAGGATCATTTCTGTATTATTATGACAATATGGTTTGGTTTCTTCCAAAAATGTTACTCTGTTCTGTAAGCAATCCCCAAGTGTGAGTTTTCTAAAAATTGGCAAGTTAGTTGTCTGATGTTAGAAAAGCATTTTCTTACAGAAATGGTGTGGTAGTTCAGGGCATAATTTTTTCCTCTTATCATTTACCCTCCTCCAAAAAACCCACTCTTTAACTTAGACCTGTTGAATACTAGCTATATACAGGATAGTCATGAGCCTCTCATCATTAGAGGAAGGAGGTATAGATCAGACCTGTCAAGAGACTTTCATATGTAGGCAGTTCCTGCTAGGTAGGAGCTAGAAAGGGCTTTTGTGGGGGTTGGAGAGGCTGTCTAGGCATTGAATGGTCAAGAAAGAGCTTCAGATAAAGGGGTAAGGAATCAGAATGTTAAGATATGTGTGAGGTGATTCATTTATAAATAAATCTGTGAAGAGAGACTAGGATCACTTTTAGAGCTTTAACATCTACTTAATAATGGATAGTTTCTAGTTGTTTGTGATTAATTCTGTGATTTAATGCAGAGTAACCTCTCTAGGCCACAGTTTTGTCCTTTCTTCAAGTGTCAAAATGTATTCTTTATAGTTCCAACAATTCTTTTTTTCTTTTTTTAAATAAAGCGGGAAAGAGGTTGAGACTGTCATCAAAGAAAATAAAATTTAAAATCAAATTTAAAACATAAAGTTTTAAGATAGGATATTTTTTAGTAAGCTGACTTTTACAGAATCAGAATAAAGGTTATATATGCAAATTGACTAAAAGAGGATATTGAGACTTTTCCTGATAGGAATGTTAAGTAGAGGTGGATCAGAAGTGGAAAGTAACAAATGATATGGCAGAACCCTTCTCAGTTGGCTTCCATGAAAGATACTAACAGTGTTCATTTGGAAACTTCATTGTTGGAAGAAAATTTAAATTTCCTTTATCAACCAGTAATTTCAGTTTGGGGGAAAATTGAACTTAATTGGATATCTATTTTGTTAAACTTTATTCCCTTGTATTTGGTTAGGGTCAGGATTTATAAATGTATTGACTAACTTGAATTTTGTTTGCAGACCAAATTTTAATAGAACAAACAGCCCAGGCTTTCAGAAGAAGGTTCAATTTGGAAATGAAAATACCAAGCTTGAACTTAGAAAAGTTCCTCCAGAATTAAATAATATCAGCAAACTTAATGAACATTTTAGTCGATTTGGAACCTTGGTTAACTTACAGGTAAGAGCCATGAAATGGTTTTGTTATCTCTTCTTTCTGTTTAGGGAACTTAATGTAATAAGAAAACTACCTTTATAAATAAATATTTTAAGGCTGGGCATGGTGGTTCACGCCTGTAATCCCAGCACTTTGGGAGGCCAAGGCGGGCGGATCACCTGAGGTGAGGAATTCGAGACTAGCCTGGCCAACCTGGTGAAACCCCATCTCTACTAAAAATACAAAAATTAGCTCGGTGTGGTGGCAGGCACCTGTAATCCCAGCTACTCGGGAGGTTGAGGCAGGAGAATTGCTTGAATCTGGGAGGCTAAGGTTGCAGCGAGCCGAGATTGCGCCACTGCACTCCAGCCTGGGTGACAAGAGCAAAACTCTGTCTCAAAAAAAAAAAAAAAAAATTGTTATTCTGAATTGGGAAAATTGGACATGAAATGGAACTCTACCTTTTAGGAAAAAATACAATTTTTAGTGTTTCAATTGATCATATTATCATAAACTTTTTACCTAATAAAGGTTGTCATAAAACTACAGCAAAGTTAATCACACTGGTAAAATCCAATCTTACAATAGTTTTCAGTTCCTCAGTTTCTCAAAATCATTTCAGCAGAAATTTTAGTCAGATTTTTGTCACTCCTATGGTGGGATGCACTTAATAGAGACTTTTGGGGCCCAGATACCTTGTAATCTGTAATTAGTTTAAACATTTACTTTTTCTTTACCACTTTTGAATATTCTTCAAGGTAAGTAACACTAACAGTAATTTGTATTTGACTGCACCTATAATTAGACCTTGGCTTGGGTATATGTAACTTGGGTGTTTTTTTAGTATTGAGTTTATATTATGTGATATGGTGAAAGTGTTGAAATAGTATGTTGAATTTTTCCCCCATTTTGTATGGTGTTCTTTTTGCAATTAAAATAATTATATTTTATAATTTAATAAAAACAAATTTTAGAGGATACAATTCATCCTAACAACTTAGGATGTTTTGGAAAGTTTTGTTTTCTTGCCATTGAAAAGTACTATAAAAGTAATAGAGCGGGAAAAAGATTCATGTTTGATTCAGGTAGGGCAACAGAGATATATACATAGAATTTAAAGGAAATGGTTCCCTTTCAACTGTCTATTCCATTCCCCTGCCCATCTATAATTACATTATTGTTAACAGTTTATCATGTGTTATTTTAGATTGTTACACAATTCTGTGTCTATTTATCTGTACACAAACTTAAAACTATTTATGAGCCCATAGTATACACATTACCCTGTGGTTATTTACTTAATCTTGAATATCTTTGAGTTGTCTTTTTATGGCAATTTCATTTGATCTACCACTATATCTAGTCATAAAAAGGTTTTCAAAATATTCTTCACACAATTAACTACACTGGTAATATTTAAAATTTTTTTTAAAGCTGAGGGGCAAAACATACCTCACTATTGCTTCTATTTGCATTTACTCAATTACAAGTGAGGTTGAAATCTTCTGTTGATTGGTTCTTTTGCCATGTCTGTGTACTACCTGTATTATTGTTCTTAAAACATGTTTTTCAAAATCAATTTTCAAAACTCTTTAGCTTCATGCTAATTAAACATAGTGATGAAATTGATGTTTATAAAGTCTTAAAAAATGTATAATTATTAAAATGTTACCAAAATTATCTTTATAGTTATAATTAATGTTTATTGAATACTTCTGACTGTGTACAATCTCTGTTCTAAGTGAATTATTTAATTCTTAACACTGAAGAGTGGATATGGTTATTCTCATTTGTAGAAAAAGAAAACAAGGCCCAGAAAGGTTAAGTAACTTGATCATGTTCATGTGAGAGTAGCTGCCAAAGTTTGAGCCAGGCAGTTTGATTCCAACTACTTTTTTGTTTTTTTTTGTTTGTTTTTTTTTTTTTTTGAGACAGAGTCTCACTCTTGTCACTGAGGCCAGAGTGAGGTGGCATGATTACGGTTCTTTGTAGCCTCGACCTCCTGGGCTTAGGTGATTCTCCTGCCTCAGCGTCCCGAGTAGCTGGGACCACAGTTGTGTGCCACCACACCCGGCTAATATTTTTTCAATTATTATTTGTACCAGTGGGGTCTTAATATGTTGTCCAGGCTGGCCTTGAACTCCTGGGCTCAAGCAGTCCTCCTGCCTTGGTCTCCCAGAGTGCTGGGATTACTGACATGAGCCACCATGCCTGGCCCAGGCCACTGTTAATCTCTTTTCTGTATTGCTGCACACCACCAGTGGTTTATATACCACACTTTGGAAAACTCTATTATTGAAAGAATAGGAATTTGAAGTGAAAAGTCTTGGATTTATTACTTATTAGCTGTAAGTGTCTATAGAATCACATTCCTTGAAATCTCGGTTTTCTCATGTATCAAATGTGATTGATGCTGTTGTTACATGGTCTCTTTTTTTTTGTTCTTAAATTTTCTTGTGCTTTTGGAAATGTGAGAATTACAAATTTGGGCAATTGTTCAGATGGATTTTTCTGTAATTTTTTATTAGAGATAACCCCTTGCAAAGTAATTTACTGCCTTCTTCAGATTCTGTGGATCTTTGCCATGTCATTTATTGACAATAGGGATTGTTTCTCATAGTTGCTATTAAAATTGGGAATAAAAAGAGAAACACTTTGAATGCCTATATGTAACATTTATGCAGTCGACTTTCTCTGCTATTATATAGAGGAACTCTTTTTATGCTGTGAACAATCCTTGGTTACTATTTCTTCTGGAGTAAAAGTAGACTGTGGTCTACTAATCCAGATACCAAGAAGTATAAATACAGAATCTTACTTGGAAGGACCAGTATTTCACTTACTGGGGAATTTTACTCTATGAAGCAACAGATTCCTTTGGAAATTCACTGTTCTTAATATTTTAAATCTTAGGTTGCTTATAATGGTGATCCTGAAGGTGCCCTAATCCAATTTGCAACATACGAAGAAGCAAAGAAAGCAATATCAAGTACGGAAGCAGTATTAAACAATCGCTTTATTAAGGTTTATTGGCACAGAGAAGGAAGCACCCAACAGTTACAAACTACTTCTCCAAAGGTAAGAGAGGAATTTGTGTAAAAGTACGCGCATTTCTTAGAAAGCTCTTAGCATAGCGTTTACGAGTAGAGGCATTGGAATCAAGTAGGCCTGAGTTCATACCCTGGTTCTGCATTTAGCTTCTGTTACCTGTAAAGACTTGAAAAATTTACTCAACCTTTCTAACCTGTTCTCTCATAATTGTGATGTTAATTGCTAGTTGAAAGAACAGCATGGTGTATGTGAGACATATGGAATAGTCCGTGGCAGATAGGAGTACTCAGCTATGTATATTCCAGAAATTTAGACTGTAGGTTCATCTTAGAGATTCTCTCTTCTTTCCCCTCTCCCCTTTCTCCCTCCTTTTTGTCCCAACCCCCATCGGTGTGTAATGTTAGAGTGTTTATAGAGGTATATTACAACAGTATGGGTTTTGATTGTTAGAAGATATTGAAAGTTGGACTTTAATTTATTCCAGTAAATAAGTTATTTTATGCAAAGAAAACATCTTTGTATATGTGTGGATGAAATTAGAAGGCAGTTAGGTTTTGACTATAAGCTGCATTTTAAAAACTTTCTCTGCATGGGCAATGTAGTAACAAAATAACACAGGTCACTTTCCATCCTTTTGAATGAATCAACTTGTTTAACATTTTTTCCTTGTTCTGAGGTAATGCAGCCTTTAGTCCAGCAGCCCATTTTGCCTGTTGTGAAGCAGTCAGTCAAAGAGCGGCTGGGTCCAGTACCTTCAAGTACTATTGAACCTGCAGAAGCCCAGAGTGCCTCTTCAGACCTTCCTCAGGTAAAGCAAAGGTCTTACGATTGTGCCCGTAATAGGTTCTCAGTAATTTAGTTTCCCTTGGTGATTTGAATTATAGTTAATTGTATATATTTTACATAGAAATATGATAGTCTTTACATATTTGAACCCCACCTATAAGGTTGTTTTTTTTTTTTTAATTTTTACCATTACCATAACATTTTCTCAGTCTCTACTTTTCCTATAGTATTTAAATCTTAAATTCCTCTCTCCAGTTAATATTTATGAGAAAGATTTCTCTCTCACTTTGTGGAGGAGATACATGTCAGCAAAACTGCCCGAAGAGTGAAGTTGAGTACATTAAATCTTATTTTTTCCATCATCTTTTTACTTAATTAGAATTCTGTTCCGGAGATAATTGTGTAGTAGACTGAACTAAACTAAAAGCTTATGGTAAGGGAAGGCTTAAACCATCAAGTTAAGCATGCTTGATATTATACTGTTTTAAGTACTTAGACTGCTCTCTCATAACTTTGCATCACTTATTCCTGACTCTGGGATTCTTTTCTCCATATATCATTTCCTTCCCACTTCCTTCAACACTTGAGTGGCAGTTTCTTGTTTCTACATTCTCAGTCTCTGAAACTTAGCTTTCCTTTGTCTCCCGATGTTTCAGCATTTGCTGTGTAAAATAGAGTTAGGATGTAGTGTCCTACTTAGCTAGTGGATGCCACCTTATTAAAGTAGTCTTCCTAGATAATTCCTGAAGAGTAAGATGCTGAATTTCTGCAAGGACATGCAGAATGTCTATTGGTAAATTATTAGTTAATTTAAAAAATTCCCAGTCCTATCATCCCAAATTATCACCAAATACAGTATATTTGGATATAAAATAAACATACTTTAGAAGAAGTTGGCACTATTTTTAAGCTCAGTAAGTGGGCATATATTTTAATTTTTAAAATTTGAGATTTTCTCCTAATTTATTCTGTGTCAGTGGCAGGGACTTTAGCAACCACGTGGCTCAGACCTCTTAGTTTACATCATTTTTCATGATTGAATAATATTGCATACTGTTTATTTTTGTTTTCCCACATATTTTCTTTCTGTCTCTTTTAAGAAGGACCAAGTTTTTGTGGTTAGTATTGGTATACTCATAGACTCTGTATATATTAGTAGAATCAGAATGTTCAAGATCCCAACAGACTTTTATATGTTTGGGGAAACACTGAATATGTCCATTTTAATTTTTTTAGAATGTAACTAAGTTATCTGTGAAGGACAGGTTGGGTTTTGTATCAAAGCCATCTGTTTCAGCAACTGAAAAGGTAAGAAGAATAGCATGATGTGTTTGTCTTGGCTTCATAAATGTTTTCAGGTGGCATCTTAATTTTTAATTTTTTTTCATAGTTCTAAACTCTTGCTTCTTAATAGTATCTGTATCTTTTCCTACCTTTTGGTTTCCATTTGCTGAAAAAGAAA
Organism: Homo sapiens; assembly: GCF_000001405.40. Classification (NCBI taxonomy): domain Eukaryota; kingdom Metazoa; phylum Chordata; class Mammalia; order Primates; family Hominidae; genus Homo; species Homo sapiens. The sequence continues at coordinate 79,352,998 of NC_000013.11, read as the reverse complement.
AATATTTTCCTTTTTTTACTTTTGCATCAGCATTTTAATACTTGCCTCCCACTATATTTCCATGTACTCCATTCCTTTTCTTTGTTTTATTCTTTTTATTTACTTTGTTTTCTTTAGAGATACTGTGCATTTTGATTTGACAACTCTGGCAGCCTAATAGAAAGGGCCATGATTAGGAATTTCACCTGAGTTTGAGCCCTGGCTCTTCACTTACTAACTGCATGACGTTGGGCAGTGTTCTTAATTTTTCTGAATCTTTTTACTCATCGGTAAAATGGTGATGGTAATATTTATCTTGCTCATGGGGTTTTCTGAAGATCAAATAAAATCATTTATTTACAAATATTTTTGTAAACTGGAAAGGATGATGTAAATGTAAGTTTTTCACTTATTACTAAACAGTAATAGAGGTAGCATAGCAATACATATAGTCATTTCTTTTTTTTTAAATGAAGGGGGGTAAATATTTATTAAATCAAGACCATTTATGGATATATCTTATAGTTCTGTGTAGATGTTATTTTTTTTTTTTGTTTAGGTATGAGTAAATACTTTGTCTTTGATTTTATTTGAGGCATATGAAATCACAGAATGTGAGAATTAAATAATCTTTCTTAGTTCTATATGCTTATCTTAAAGTCAAGGCCCAAACAGTGTTATGATTTCATCTGTATACTGTGAGTCACTGAGCCAGAACTAGAATTTGGGGCTCCTATTTTTAGTCCATGGCTCTTTTCAGTCTGAAGATTGGGAATCAATTTCAGAGATAATGCATCAGTGAGATAGCTGCCCTGCTGTCTTCACTATATTCTTCAGTATATTATTTTCTTTATTTACAATGTTAAACTTTGGCAGTTTTAGGTATTTGAATCTGAGTTTGTGTATCAGACTTTGCTCTTGGGCATCTCAGCATTACTTCGGGCATAATGTGCCTAAAATGAATTCATTATTTCCTATATAAATTAATTTATCCTAGCCCTTAGCTCAGAAAGTGATAACACCATTTTCTAAGCTGTGTGATCCAAAAGCCTTACAATCATTTGCTTGTGTTTGTAGACCACTTCTTTTTCTGCCACCTTCAGTTCCCTAGCCTCTGGGTGCAGTGTCTTAACTGGCATCCTGGAATTCCCCTCGTCTAGTTTATACTGTCACCATCTTACACTCAGACTTATTTTGGCGTTAATTCATTATAGAAACTTTGAGTTTCTCAGCTAAATTACTTTCCTTGATTCACAGCTCATCGATAACTCAATAATTCTGGTTCTATTACTTCTGCTCTAGTCTTTTTACCCAAGGGAGTACTTTTCTGCTCGTTTTCCTTTGGCCTTTCCTGACTTTTATTATTTTATTTTATTTTTTTGGTGGTGATTTTTCTGGAGTGCATTTCCCCCCCCGCCGCCCCAACTAAATTCCAGTCATTATTTAAAGAGTGAAAGTCTCTCTAACATCTCCCATGAAACCTCCAGATTTTTCTGTTATCCCCACCTCCTCCTTGGAATTTCTGTGCTGCTTAGTCTGTGCTACTAAATTTAGCAGTATCAAATACTTACTTGGATTAGGTTTATCCTCGTTGAAAATAAGTATTTCAGAAAAAAGAAACACTGGAAGTGTTTGAGGTGATAGATTTTGATTATTACATAATGTATATATGTATCAAAACATCACACTGTACCCCATAAATATGTACAGTTCTGTCAATTAAATGTAAAATAAAATTTAACACTAAGTTCAGCTGTACTTAGTGTACTACTGAGAAATTCTAGAGACATCTAAAATGCTCAGTTATATTTGGAGTCTGTAATGTCAGATTTGGACTTTTGAAATTGAAGTGTGTACTCATAGCTTTTATAAAATTTTTGCAGTGTATTGTGAGTACAAATTTGTAGTTGATAATATAACTTTACTAATGCATAGACTAATATATATACCCATATATTATGCTAATGCAATAAACTACTAACTGAATTTTTATGGGAAAAAAATCATTTATGGTAGCAAGCTATTTATGGGGAAAAATATTTTTGATAAATACCGTAAACAGCCTATTAAGGAAAACAGTAAGTATGTAACTTTTATTCATCTTCAGTGAGTGTCTTTACAGAGAAACATTTTATTTTTGCTTATTTTTGTTGTTTCTGTTCCCCTAATCCTTAGGGGGTTTGGGTCCAAAATACTTACAGGGCAGTGATTCAAAGAAGTCTTAGAAAGAATAGAAGAATGTTCCCCATCATCAAATATTAGTTGAAAGATTCTTTTTTTAAAAAAAATGAAGGCAGGGGAAAACCCAAAGCTTGTATCTATACAGTATCCTATGTCATTATTAAACTAAATAAATACACAAATGTAACATTTTATACCTTCCCTATCAACAACACACAGTAAAACCTTTAGTGATTATTCTTTATCCTGAGACCCCATTTTCGTGAGGAGGCTAGAAGAGAGGAAAGTTAAAACGTAATTGCTGCTGGTAAATATGAAGATATTGCAAGAGGTATTTAGTTATTATGTGAATAGATTTGATAAATTATGTTTGAGTGCCTCTGCTTACTAAAGAAATTCATGAAGAATAAAGGGCTACATCTGTGTATACTGTCCTGGTTAGTTTTTTAAAACAGACTTAAGACCGTTCAAATTATCTTGCTGAATCCCTTCTAAATTCTAAGAAGGCAAACTGCGTAACCAGTGGAATATTTAATCTTCTTTATCATATCAGCTTTAAATATCAGATTTATGATACAGGATGTTATTGTTCTTGTGGTTTTTGCAATGTAAAAATATATCTTGGTCTCTGCATGATGATATATTAACATCTATACCATGGAACTTTTAAAAGGAAAATTGTGTGGTATAATTAAAAGAATATTGCATGTTATAGAGAAACTTCACCTGTTGATTTAGCAGGTGCCATTGTGTAGATGCTAAGCAAATCTTAATATGTTTCCTTGGATTTTTGAAATTTGAATTTGTTGTGTAACTTTGCTAGTTAAAAGATTTAGAGGGATTTGGCTGGGCGCATGGCTCACGCTTGTAATCCCAGCACTTTGGGAGGCCGAGGTAGGCAGATCACGAGGTCAGGAGTTCGAGACCAGCCTGGCCAATACAGTGAAACCCTGTCTCTTCTAAAAATACAAAAATTAGCTGGGCCTCGTGGCGGGCGCCTGTAATCCCAGCTACTTGGGAGGCTGGCAGGAGAATCACTTGAACCAGGGAGGTGGAGGTTGCAATGAGCCGAGATGGCGCCACTGCACCCCAGCCTGGGTGGCAGAGCTAGACTCTGTCTCAAAAAAAAAAAAAAGAGTGGGATTTATCATAGTTTTTTTTTCTTAACTGTTATTGACTATTTTTAATTTTTATTTTTTAATTCAGTGGCCTCTCAGGATTATTACCTGCATTTTTTTTTCAGGAAAATATGAAATTAATTTATTTGAGTGTATTAGCTTTGCTGAACTTTGTAGTAACTAAGCTATTTGTGTAGCAAAAATTCATTACTAGCTGTACATATTTTTTACTTTGATGTTTGTTAAAATATTTCTCTGCAAGTTTTTTAATCTTTGTTTCTTTTAATCCCTTTGTCTATTTCACTTATATGTGGAATCTTAAAAAGTTGAACTCATAGAAGCAGAGAGTAGAATGGTGGTTACCAGTGGCTGAGGACAGGGGATTGGGAAATGTTGGTCAAAAGATATAAAACTTCAGTTAGATAGAAGAAATAAATTAAAGATATCTATAGTACAACGTGGTGACTATAGTTAATAACAATGTGTTGCATTCTTGAAAATTGCCAAGAAAGCAGCTCACCACAAAAAAAAGTGACGTAATACAAATGTTAATTAGCTTGACTTAGCCATTTTACAGTGTATATATTTCAAACAGCATGTTGTACATGATAAATACACAGACAGTCATCAACTTACGGTGACTTGACTAACAGTTTTTCAATTTGATGATGCATTTATTACTTACAAGTTGAAAATGTATTTTCAACTTAAATGGTATTTCAGCTTACAATGGATATAGCCCCATCATAAGTTAAGGGACATCTCTATACAGTTTTTGTCAATTAAAAGAATAAAATTTTGAAAGCTACAAAAAAGATAAGGTAGATCAGTGCATTAAAACATACTTTGTGTTCTTGAAATTTAAAAACGATTAATATCTAAAAGTATGTATAAACTTAACTTTAAACCAAAATCCCATTCTTCTCACCAGAATTCTCAGGTTTGATACAGAACGCACATCTGTGTGCTGCTTTAAGTGAATATCATAAACGAACATTCAGATTTACTGAACAGGTGACTACTTACTATGAAAACTGACCATACAGTAACTGTATTAATACGTTTCCTACACATAGCTCCTCATACTGTCTTTTGATTGCATTAAACCAATGTATTTCTGCTTTAAAAACCTGTTGGAGCTATTTATTGTGAGTGTGGCTGCTAGACATCATAACTATATTTGTATTTAATTTCTACTTAGGCATTGGTTATTGAAAAATCATACTCGGATAACTTAATTTTACAAAATACTTTTTCCCTTCCATTCTTATCTATGAAAAACAGCTGTTTTTCTCTTTCTTTACGATTACTTATAGTTATTGTGGCTGGTATTATTTTACATAGGAAATAAAATAAGGAGGTGTTAATGGATTGTAACCTCCCTCTCTTTAGGGAAAATAAGAGGTATTAGTGCTATACATTTTAACAACACAGCACATGATACTTTTCAACTTATTTTCTGAGTTCAGCATACCAAACCTGACAATATACTATAAGAAAGGAAAATTACAGACCAACATCTGTCATGAACATAGACACAAATATCCTAGAGAAAATATTAGCAAATGTCCAGTGATACATGAAATACATAATCATTCATGGCCAGGTAGTATTTATTCCAGAAATTCAAGGTTGATTTACCATTGGAAAAATCAGTTTAATTGATGTTAGTAGAATGAGGGAGGAAAAAACTCTAGATGATTAGCTCAGTAGAGAAAGTGTTCTGTTACTTAGTTACATTAAACACTCTGCAAAGGAGGAATAGAGAAAAACTGTTTTAATTTGATGAAGGAAATCTGCAATAAAAGAAAAAAAACTACAGCTAACATAATATTCAATTGTGAAATATTGACTGTTTTTCCTTGAGGTTGGGAAAGACAAGGATGTCCATTTGCATCACTTTTATTTTTTTTAGTATTGTACTGGAGAGACTCATGGGTGCACTAAGGAAGGAAAATAGAATAAACCATATAAAGATTGGAAATAAAACTGTTTACTTGCAGATGACATGGTTGTAGATATAGAAAATTCAAAATAATTCACACAGTTGGGATTAAGTAAGTGTAGTAAGATGTATAGAAGTAAATATGTAAAAATTATAGCACATATAGAAATGCATTTGGAATATAGAAATGTGGTTGTTTGGAGAAGTCACTGTCTCTGTTCTTAGGAATTGGAGTATCTTCTTTTCTGTTGGGCTCGTTACTTCCCTCCACTAATTTCAGTTTTAATAGATTTTCTTCTTTTGAAAATACATGTGTCTCTTACTATCCAAACTGTCTAATCTCCAGAACCAGATAGATTCAAATAGTGAACAATATAGTTCATTGTTTATAAGTCACATTTTTACATTTTAACACCTCTGACGTTGGGCTGTGTCTTATAATTGTTAGACACAGGTTATGATTGGCAGCCTTTTTTTCTTTAGTAGGGGTACATAAATGATAGTTTGTCTTACAGTCACTGAGTTGTAGCCTTAGTGAGTCACATTCGTGGATGTTCTAGTTTTACAGAAGGATGTTCCTGGATAAAAAAGGAAATGGGAATACTTCTAGGAATAAAGGAGTCTTATCATTGTCAGATACTTTTATTCACTTTGAACCAGCACTCCTTAGTCTGATACTACATGTCAAAAATGATTTGAAAAGGAGTATTCTCACTGAAACTGGAGAAATACTTGGTTAAATAAATTATATGGGTTTGTTCTTGGCTTCTCACTGCTTTTATTATGAAGATAATATAAATTAAAAACTGGAAAATTGGGTTACGATATTCATTGTTTCACACTTAAATAATTAGGAGTTTTTTCTTTTGGCCACAACTTTTCAACTTATGGAATCCTCATGAAGAAAACAGTTTGTGAAACTTAATTAGGCTCTGTTTTCAGTTTATCCTGTGTTTCTCTACTAATATATTGTCTTGTCTTTGTATAGTCATGTGGTTTGGCATTTTGTGCTGTGGTTAGGTAGCATGGAAGAAATTTTTCTCTAGAATTACAAAGAAAGGTCACTGAAGTCTGACCACAAACAAAATCTTTGTTTAATTGGTCGAGTATGGTGGCTCACACCTATAATCCCAACAGTTTGGGGCGCCAAGGCAGGAAGATTGCTTGAGCTCAGGAGTTTGAGACCAGCCTGGGCAACATGGCGAGAAACCCTGTCTCTACAAAAAATACAAAACATTAGCCGGGTGTGGTGGTGCGCGGCTGAGGTCCCAGCTACTTGGGAGGCTGAGGATCACTTGAGCCCATGAGGTGGAAGTTTCAGTGAGCCAAGATCTGGGCCACTATGCTCCAGCCTGGGTGACAAAGTGAGACCCTGTCTCACAAATATAATAATTGATCAAATTTTAATACACATCAAATATTGTTAAGAACCTTTCTTTTTAAATATCAGCTGTACTGTATGAAACTAGTACAATTATAATATTTTAGGTTTTTATTTCGTTTAGAGGCTAACACTTTCTTGAATACTTAGAATAGCGATTTGTGATGTTCCCTAATCAGATTTCATGATGAAAGATTAGAAAGTAGTCTTCAGATTGCTACTTACCTGTTAACCAGATGTTAATGTTTCAGTGGCTAAAAAATAGGGCCACTTTTCTCATTTATACTCTTAAACTTGAGTAGTTCTTTTAACCTTATTTAGGTCATGAACTCCTTTAGAAACAATGACTTGAGAAAACAATGTTTTTCCTTAGAAAAATTGCAGTGTTCACACACATGCTTTCATGTTTAGTTTTATAGCATTCGTAGATCACCCTACAGGGATTCCTAGGCTTCTTTTTAAGAACCAGTAACCAGTCACCCCGTGGAACTTAAACTGTTTTTCTTTTGAAGGATAAAAAAGATACCCAATACTTTTTTTTTTTGAGCTGACCGTTGTATAGAAAAGGTTGTCCACTCTGACCTATAGTCATTTCAGTCTAGTTTAGTGCAGAAATGTTTTTTGAGTACTTACCCTGTGCCCTGGCACTGTTTGTAGCACTGAACCAAGTTAAAAAACAAGCAAAATCTCTGCCCTCTTGGAATGCATTTTTGGGTTTGTAAGGACTTTAGACACCATCATGTTCATCTTCTTTATTTTATAGATGAGCAAACTGAGGCCCAGAATGGTACTTAATCTTACCCGTGGCCTCATAATTAGTTGGTGGCAAGACTTAGGTACTGGAAGATGCGCAGAAGAGAAAGGCAAGTCTTTATGTTAATGCCCTTACATTGTAGACGGGGGAAAAGACACATTAATTAATATATTATCAGGTCGTTTTTTTTTACTAAATAGCTGACACTAACTAAAAATAGCTAATAGCATTTTTACCTAATAGCCAAAGAAATAAAATTTCATATAAGGACCTAGGTAGAAAAGAGAAATGATCCAGGCTTTGTTAGAGGTCTTGATTGTGTTAGGCTGAACCTAAGCTGAGTTTAGGGGAGTAAGGTCAGTTCAAGCAGAAGGAGCATTGCTACCAAAGGATTGGAGAATGAATGCAATAGGGTATGTTTCAGTACTGGAAGTTGCAAATGATTGTGTTAAATTGAGGGACAGCAACCAGTTTCCTCCTGTGCCATGCTCTTGAGTGTGGCTTCTGCTTTAGTCACTACAAATATTAGTAAATGTATTCAACAACTAATGCTTTCTCAGTGATGTAGTAATAGTAATGTTTTTCTTTTTGACATTTTCATGTTTTTCTTTACTTTTTTTTCTATAGGTATTTGGTGTTCATTTTTTTAAATTTTAGAGCTTATTATTTATACTCTACCTTTCAAATCACCAAATATGATTTCGTTATTATAAGTATAAAATACATTTAGTTCAGTGTGTTTTGAAGCTGAAGTTTAACAGTAGTGCTTTAAAGTTGAGTCTTATAGAAAATAGGATATCATGAACGGCTGATATATATTTTTAAAAGTTGAATTTGTATTGGTAGGTGTTGTCTACATCTACTGGCCTAACAAAAACAGTGTATAATCCAGCTGCTTTGAAGGCTGCACAGAAAACCTTACTTGTTTCCACCTCTGCAGTTGATAATAATGAAGCACAGAAAAAAAAACAGGTAAGTACAACTGGTATAGTATAAAAAATTTTTGCATATAGGAAAGCTTTCCTTGTGTATGTGTTTTTTCAGTGCTTATTGCAAAATAAGACTACAAGGGTGTTTGTTGGCTGCCACTGAACGTTTATTTTCCATAGTATAGCGGTAAATAAAAATTTTTTCTTTGAAAGAAAGGTTCCTGTGATTAATCTTTGAAACTTGCATACATATTTTAAGTTTTACATAGAAAAGCCTTGCATATAATTTTTGTTGACAGACTTCTGCAGTTACAACTATTTCTCTTCTCTTGAATAATATTGTTTATCCTTAGTAATATTCTAATGATATTTTTGATCCCTGATTCTAGGAGGCATTGAAACTTCAGCAGGATGTAAGGAAAAGGAAACAAGAAATTTTAGAAAAGCACATTGAAACACAGAAGGTAAAATGTTAAAGTTAGATTTGGCCAAATTGCAAATGTTATAATTTGGAGTGAACTTAATCTTATGCTACCTAGTCATAAAAAGATTTACTATAATTGGTAATGGTAAAACAAATATTTGTCAGTGATAATATTGGAGATGAAGAGCATACATCAGATGGTGGGTATACTTTATACTTTAACTGGTACTATAGTTATCAACATGAAATTAAGGTGTTCATTCAGTTGTGTTGCTGCACAGTAGTTTTTTCAACAGATAATTAAATGGAACCTTTTTTCTCAGTATTGATATGTACCTTTCTTCACTAGCTTAGGATCCTCTAGTCCTGTGTTTTTTAGTATAGCAGTTAGTAGCCACATGTGACTGTCTATAGCCACATCTGACTGTTGAGCATTTGGAATGTGTCTAGTCCAAATTGAGATGTGCTATAAGTGTAAAATATACACTAGATCTCAAAATGTAGTACAAAGAAAAAAGTAAAACATCACAATAATTGTTGAAATGTCACATTTTGGATATATTAGGTTAAGCAAAATATTTTATTAAATTAATTGTATTTGTTTCTTTTTATGTTTTTAATGTGACTGCTAGAAAATTAAAAATTACTTATGTGACTTGGGTTCTTTCTTTTGGACTGAGTTACTCTAATTTATGACATTTAATTAGTCTCAGTTCTTGATTATGTCTAGTAATGAAGGTTAGTAGTATGACATTTCAAAATGTTGAAAATACAGAAACTACATTTTGATTTGAAATGTGTGTCTTTTCTAATTTAAAGTTGGATATACTTGATTAAGAAAAATCACAATACTTTACAAAACCAAAAACTGAAGCCATCCTAATTCAGGAAACCTACAATAAATCATGTGGCTTCTTTTACCCATACTATCTTGCTTATCTTGTTGTTTCCTGTTCATGTTGGGAATACCATTCTCAGGTGAAAAAGTAATTAAACATTCATTTTTTCTAATATCTCATTGTATGAAAGGAACCATAAAACTTTTCCTCTGGTTCTTTCTGGGCTGGAGATGACATTGATAGTGGGAATACTTAGAGGCGTAACATCAACAAATGGATTAGAAAGTAAAATTGTTAATATATTTTTCAAATTGATAATTTTTCAGTGATAGAATTGAGTTTCTTCTGGTTGTGTGCTTCAAACTTATGTTCTGAGAGACCCAAATAGTAACAGTTCTTCACAAATTTAACCAAGAGTAAAACTTGAGTTGAGATAGTTAGCATCACCAAATCTGCTATTCTGCGATCTTTAGATAATTCATGGTTGTTAGCCTTCTCACGAATGCATAAACTAAAAAAAGTAGTAATATTTATTTTTAAATTACTTTGCAGTGTTTGTTTTGTTAATGATAATAGGAGTAATTAGCTTTATTTTTCTCTTTTTAAAAATTTGGCAGATGTTAATTTCAAAACTGGAGAAAAACAAAACAATGAAGTCTGAAGATAAAGCAGAAATAATGAAAACTTTAGAGGTTTTGACAAAAAATATTACCAAGTTGAAAGATGAGGTCAAAGCTGCTTCTCCTGGACGCTGTCTTCCAAAAAGTATAAAAACCAAGACTCAGGTATTTAATTTCATTGTTGTTCATATTATTACTTATTAACAAGCATTAGACACTACATTTTTAAGATTCAGTTTTTCTTGTAGGTAATATCTTCTGTTCAAAATCTGACCATTGTATGTACCATTCTCCCCCTGCCATAAATAAAAAAGTACAAACAAGTAAACTCTACTAATCTTTTAAATTCTGTTATAGTTGGAAAGTCACTAATTAGAAAAATAGTCATGGGTAACCTTGAAAAGGCCGCTTGAGGACAAAGTGATATAGGTACTTGACTGCTTGACTAGTTTTATATAATAGTAGTTGGTGATATAGAGGGTTAATAATAGACAAGTATGAATAACATTCTGACAACACCGTACACGGTGGATTGACTGAAAAGGGGAAAATTCAGGTTGATCAGGTAGATCAATCTACATAGATGGTAATAAGTGATTAAGAAAAAAACAGGGTTATACAATGTTTATACTTGGTGTGTCTGTATGTATATATGTATAAGGTCATGACTCTAATTGATATTTTAAATTCAAACCCAACATCACATGGCTCTTCCTTATTTCGTATTTTATTTCTGTTCCCATAATGACAACTTCGTTCCACTAATATCAATATATTATTATTAAACACAGTGCTATAATACGTTCAAAGTAGCTCAAAAATTGCTACAACAATACCACTTCCAACAACTAACTAAATATAAAATTCAAATGTATTTACGTTCTTTACAGCCTCGGTGTATTCCACTAAAGGTGTAAAGTCAGAACTGTGGTCTAAAATTACTTTTTTCCCCCTTTTGTGTAGTTGTTACTAATTTGATAAAGTTAAATCTATTTGCATTTGTATTCAGTTTTGGATCGCCTCTCCCTGGCCCCAATTCTTGCAGATTGTATTTTATTCTTTGAACAAGTGAAACAATTCTCATGGTTCAAAAGCAAAACTATATAAAAAGGAATACATAAAAGACCCCTTTCCCTTTGACTCCTGGCACTCTGTCCCCACCCATCCCTTATAGGTCACCAGTATCATTAGTTGTGGTTTATCCTAGTTTTTCTTTTTGTAAATATATGAATGTAGATAGGTATGTTTTCTACATAAAAACATACTCTGTATTGCTCATTAGCACCTTGGTTTTTTAGGGTTTGTTTTTTACTTTTCCTTTCAGTTATTTCCTTTAATTACCCCATATCAGTCTGTGTAAATCTCCTTCTGGCTGCTGTATGGAAAATGAATTATAGGAAAATCAGTGAAAGTAGCAACAAGTTAGGAAGCTGTTGCAGTTATTGTGGAGGTGTGGAGTATTTTGGCTTGGATTAGAGTGATTATACTGGAGATAGAAATATATGGATTAAATGGGACTGCGTAAAAGTTACTTTAAAAAGGTTTGTATCAATACAGGATAGTAATTACTGTCACCTAAAATATTAATTACTATTTTTTAGATGCAGAAGGAATTACTTGACACAGAACTGGATTTATATAAGAAGATGCAGGCTGGAGAAGAAGTCACTGAACTTAGGAGAAAGTATACAGAATTACAGCTGGAAGTATGTTTAATCACAACTACACAGTAGGCTTAAAAGAAGCAAATGTAGTTGTAGTGGTCAATTTAAAAATATATTCCCTTCCCTTCATTCTCATTAGTAATTGTTGGTAATCCCTGGCATACATATTGAGATGTTAATATAGGAAAGAGGGAAGAGGTCAACAAATTTTTCAGAGGTACTAGATAAAATCTTATTTAATGAGGAGTGGCAGTAATTCTGCCTATATCCCCAAGTTCCTCCATTTCTAATGAATTTTATTTCTTTCTATTTTTGGTCTGTCCTCCCTGGAATAGAAAACTTATAATAAAGTCTTTTCAGGTATTCTTATGGAGATATTCTTTGCATATAAATTGAGTTGCTGTATGCGAGTTTTAGTTGGAGAACTATATTGAGAACTATTTTGAAGAATATGTTTACTTGAGTTTTGCCTATAGATGGTGCTGTGGATGTTTAGAAAAGAGAAATAAACTTCTTTCTTGTAATTTAATTAGATGGTTATTTATATAAGAAACAACTCCTAGTGAAATTGATTCCTGTTATATGATATGAGAGAGAATTTTTGAATAGCAAAAAGAGGTTCAAAGATTGGAACTGTATTTTGAAATAGACATTAACGTCATTAATATAGTTGGCACATGTCTGTATTGTGGTTTGATACAGGAATTTAAGATTTTTATACTTTAGATTATTTAGCTTTAGCTGAGATTAATGCTTTTTTCTTAACTTGTTGGCAACTTGATCATTTTTTGGACACGGTAGAAATCTGTTTTGAATACTGCCATCCAGGTATTAAAGACTTAACATTTAGTAGCTACCATACTTGCCTTAAAGCTCTGTCTTCTCTGAAAGTCATAGGAAGCCATAGGATGTTGTCCTAAATGTTCATACCTTTGCATTCTCTGGAAACTTGATGTGGTTGCATGTGTGTCCTGCCCAGTATTTTTTTTGGGGAAAAAAAAAAGTTTGAAAAATATTTCTTTTATGTTAATAGAGAAATTGTGTTTTTCCCATTGTAGCGATTTTATGCCAGTGTTGGTGGAATCTTTGAAACAAAATATCATTTTCAAAATTCTGGCCCATAATTTAAATAAATAATAGCATTAACAAAATTCCTTATTATTCTGTGTTTTGCTTTTTTATTATAACATAGCTAAACACTGAATGACATTTTCTGTTTTTCCTTTATCACGGCTTACGTTTAGTTTTCAGTGAATATTAGTTTTATGCAGTAATGCAGTACTTCCCAGAGTGTGTTCATTCAGCACAGTCATTCCATTAGTTGTTAATAGAAAACTGGTGAAAAAAGGTTCTTAGGCTAAATAATACAACCTTAGAACAGGTTATATTGGATATGCGTTTTTACTGTGGGGTTTCTTAGAGGCTTTTAATTTCTGAATCTCTAAAAATACATATTAAGTATTCAGTGTTACTCAAGTTTATTTGTCCAAGGACCCTCCTTTTCAAGGAGCATTTTGAGGCATTAATATTCCTCAGAGCATACTTCCGTATATACTGTTCTATTACTAATATTAATCCTTGAGCTTCAAAATTTATTATTACGTGTTATTTTGTTATATTGACAAATGAAGAATTATATATATGATAATCCAAAATGTTTTGATATATGTGTAAGTTGTGAATTGATTACGTCAAGCTAACATGTCCATCACCCCACATACTTGTGATTTTTTTGATGAAAATTGAACATTTAAACTCTACTCTCTCAGCAATTTTCAAGTATACAATAATTATTATTAACTGTGGTCACCAACCAGTGCTGTACAATAGATCTCTAGAACTTACTCTTCCTATCTGACTGAAACATTGTACACTTTGACCAACATCTCTCCATTCTTCCTGTCCCCACAGCCCCTGGTAACCACCATTCTGCTGTCTGCTTCTATGAGTTTGATTGTTTTAGATTCCATGTATAAGTGAGATCATACAGTATTTGTATTTCTTTGCCTGGCTTATTTCACTTGGCATTATTATTTGGATATTAGATGATTATTTTAGCTAATGCTAAGATTAACTGTCTTGAGATGCAGAAACTGAAATACCTGTACTAGCAGAGATTTGGCAGCTGTGCCTGCTTCACACTTCCATTTGGGTATCTCACATCTAAGACTCAACATCTTCAAAATTTTGCTTATCTTGCTCCTACACCCCATCTGTACAGTTATACAAACCAGAAATCTGGCAGTCTTAATTGATTTCTCCCTTTGCTTCAGCATCTATATCTAATTAATTATCAAATTTTATATATGTTACTCCTAAATGTATCTTAAATGCGTTTACTTCTATCTCCATTGCCACTACTGTAGTCCAGACTTCCTTCTTCAGGTCTTTTGTAGTGGCATACTGAATGGTTTCCCAGCTTCTTTTCTTCCTTCTACTCTGTTCTTAAAACTCTAGCCAGAATATCCTCTTCAGCACTGATTTGGTTACATCACTCTTTTACTGCTTAAAATCTTTTAATTTATTTTTATGGCTCTTGGGATAAAACTCAGAATCCTTAACATGATCCTTAAAGTTATGTGTAATCTGACTCTGCCTTTCTCCAGGCTTATCTCTCCATCCAGCTACACTGGATTATATTCATTCTTTGGGAAATTACATTTCTTTCAGCGTTGGTGCCTTTTTTCATGCCGTAACCCCTACCTCATTCTTGCCTTTTTTCTTTGCTCCTCCTTTGATTCATTGAACAAGTATTAAATACAATCCACCAGCTACTGCTGGGAATAAAGCGGAGAATAAAATGGAAAAAAAAATATCTTGAGGGAACGTACATTCTAGTGGGTTATTCACTGCAAATCTTTGAAGTTCTTTTCGAATCTTAAAGCATTTCTTCACGTTTTGAGTCACTTCTCATTAATATAGTTAAATAACTTAGTTGCTCTTGTTGTTTTTTAAGATGGAATCTTGCTCTGTCGCCCAGGCTGGAGTGTAGTGGCGCGATCTCGGCTCGCTGCAACCTCTGCCTCCCAGGTTCAAGTGATTCTCCTGCCTCAGCCTCCCGAGTAGCTGGGACTACAGGCACTACGCCTGGCTAATTTTCAGTATTTTTAGTAGAGATGAGGTTTTTCCATGTTGGTCAGGCTGGTCTTGAACTTTTGGCCTCAGTTGATCTGCCTGCCTCGGCCTCCTAAAGTTTTGGGATTACAGGCGTGAGCCACCACTCCTGGCCATAACTTAGTTGTTTAATGCTTCTTTACACTTACGACTTGGGTTTCATGAGGGTAAAGACTTGCACACAGAAAGTGCACATTAAGTATTTGTGGAATGAAGGAGTGGTGTGCTATCATCATACAGAATAATGTGGTAGAATATCAGTGTGTTACATCAGTTCTATAATGATGTTAGTGATAAGTAATTAAAATGATTTGAGATAACTGTACCTATTGAAGTCAATTGGCAAACAAATAGAAAATCATAACTGGAAAAAATGTATTTATTGTGAATGTAGGTATTATCTGTTTATTATCCTGACTTCTGAAGTAACATTTAACACTGCATACTTGGAAATCAGGAGTTGCTGATCTTTTTGTGATATATCCTGATGTCTTAGAGAGCAAGAACTTAGAAAAAGGCACATTTAGTAATTCCAAGACCTCAGTGTTATTTTTTTGTTTCAGTTTACTAGCCACCTACATTTACTTTCACTAAACTAAAACCCCAATTTAAATTATGTGATCCTTTTATAGGGCATTTGAATACATTGTCAAATTGCATTAAAGTTTTATTCATCTGCCAGAGTGTAATGCTTGGCTTGTGTTAGTAATCACAGCATTGTTTAACCTGTGTGTCTAATCTCTTCTAGGCTGCCAAACGAGGGATTCTTTCATCTGGTCGGGGCAGAGGAATTCATTCAAGAGGTCGAGGTGCAGTTCATGGCCGAGGCAGGGGGCGAGGGCGAGGGCGAGGTGTGCCTGGTCATGCTGTGGTGGATCACCGTCCCAGGGCATTGGAGATTTCTGCATTTACGGAGAGCGATAGAGAAGATCTTCTTCCTCATTTTGCGGTACTTTCTTACTGCTCAACAAAACAAATGCTGATAATCATCATTGGGGATAGTAGACATAATTAAAGAGGAAGTTATGAAAAGGACATAAGTAATTTCAACTCGTTAATCTGAACAAAGAGTTTAATCTTTAATTTTTTTGTTAATTTAAAAACAAACTGTAGGATTTGTATAATTATCTAGAAGAGACATTACTATTCTTACACTTAGTAGGCCATGAAATACTGTGAAATGAACAATATAAACTTTGCTGTTTCAGAGAGGGAAGTCTTGTAGTTTAGTTTGATTTGATATTTACTTTTAAAGAAAAAGTTAACATATTGCATGGGCCATCCAGATTTTTAAAATAAGGTTTGTGTTTGTTAAAAATGTATTCTTGATCTAGCTGACCCAGTATTGAAACAAGATAAAATTTTGACCTATGATCTTGAAGTTGCCTCCGTCAGTGTCAGGATGTAATGAAAAAGACTTTGTATAATGGTAATATATTGACCTACAAGAAGGGAGAATGGGATTCTAGTCTCTGTTAATCCATTATTTAACTTGGACTTCCTGGGATTTATTAGGCTCATGTTCAAAATGAAGATTATACCTGCTGAATGGCCCTTTCATCTCAAATGCTGTGATTCTTAGTGGTATCCCAAAGGTTGGTTACTAAGCATCAGTTTTACCCTCAGCATTATATTTAATAGTAGTTGCTCTGGAGATATGAAGGAAATAATCAGTTCTTTATCCTCAAGGCTTTTACATGTATCAGTTTAACACAGAATAAACTACAGACATAATTTATAATCAAATTATAATTTATTAAGCACTATAAATACTTTAGTAACTTAGAGAAGTATCACGCTGGCATATGATGGAAAAAAGAACAATAGAGGAAAGTTTCATAAAGTAGTAAAACTGTAATTTAGATCTTAAAGAATAGGTAAGCTAGTAGGTAGGTACATAAATGATTTAACCTTTTGAAAATTCAGACTTAGGTGTTTAAAAATCATATTGGAGGCTTGCAGCAGTTACAGATATTTTGTCAGGACATAAGGAGATATTGACAGAAATGGTTTATGTTTAAGAAATAACCAAAATGATTAGTATTTAAGAATGAGGAGTCTAAAGTCCTGTTCTTGGTGGATTTAAAGGGATAAAGAAAGGAATTAAGAGAACTAGAAAGGAGCTTGGAAATAAATCTTGCCCATCTTTTCCCTGCTGTGTACCCCACTTCCACACCTTCCACAAGAGAAAGGAGAGCCAGATAATTTGTATGTTGTGTATAGTTTTACAGCTAATCAGGAAACTAACAATGAATGTGCTAAAATAATCCAAACAGACAAAGTGAGTTTGTTGTGATTTATGTTTTGGTGAGACTAAGGTGCTTTTGGCTGAGAAGTATTCAGAGCCTCTAAATGAAAATTCTGACATGCATTTGGACATTGAAATTTCACTCCAAAGTTCACATTTAAATTATTAGTCTTAAGTATGAGCACAGGTTTAGTTGAAGTTTAGCTTCTTTTCTCTCAACCTATGATTTGAACACATGATGGATGTCAGAGGAAAAAAAATTTACATTATTTAATATATGTGATGTTAAAGGACCATTAACTATTACAAATTGTGATTAACAAAAATGCTGTATCTTCCAGTACCAGTAGTAATAGTAATAAAAATTATAACTAAAAACCTATAGAGCACTTACTTTGTGGCAGGTATGCCCTCTGAGTGCCTTACAATAATTCATTATGAATTATTTGGATAACCCTGTGAGGTAGATACCTTTATTTACGCCCATTTTAGAGGTGAAGAAAATGATGCATGATGAGGTTAAGTAACTTGTTTACACAGCTAATAACTGGCAGAGCTAGAATCTTAGTGGCTCTAGGACATTCTCTTTACTGTGCTCTACAGAACATTTCTATGATATGTGTGGAGCTAATGAGATTACAGTTATAATTTTTGGGGGGGATAATTAGGAAGGTATTGATAATGATATATAAAGGACTAGAATTTTGTGGGATAAAGGTTGCTGTTTGTAGAAAAATCCTCCCACACATGAGGGAAAAAAATCCAACAAACCAAAAACAGGAATAATATAATGTGTTTAGCTTTTAAATGTTCTAAACAACTATAAAGTACAGTAGAGTGTGTAGTAAGCAAAACCATGGTCAGTTAGGGTGTTAAACTTTTGAATCAAGAGACCTGGAATCTCTTCCCATTAATTAACAATTAACTTTGGGGAAGTTACTTAAATTTTCTTTTTCTTTCTTTCCCCATTTATTGAGAATGATACCAAAAACTCACAAATTCTGAGGATTCAGTATGTTGCTTAAGAAAGAGTTTATCTTGGGATTGGTTTAGTGAGTATAAGAGGAAAGTTAGTTAGCAAGAACGCTCAGGCTTTGACCATTATTTCCTTCATTTAAAGCATAGTTCAATTGAGTATAAGTTTTACTAATTCTGGGAAGTGTGAATTGTATGTAAGATTGGAAGACAGGACCACCTTTTATCTTATCAAGTACTAAAATAAATTACTCACCATACTTTTCTGTTAACCATTATGAATTGTTATGTATTCTGGGTTATATTTATTAGTATTTTAATGTTTTTTAATACCATTAGGATTTTTGGATATTTCAAAATATTTATTTGGAGGAAATACTTTTTTTTTAATTTAAAGCAATATGGTGAAATTGAAGATTGTCAGATTGATGATTCCTCACTTCATGCAGTAATTACATTCAAGACAAGAGCAGAAGCTGAAGCAGTAAGTTTTAAAAATAATTTATCAATTCAGATTTAAATGATTTATAAGTATTACTTTTAAGTTTTAATATAAATGAATTTTTTAACTTACTAAATAATATGCTTTGACAATAGGTAGAACACCTGAAGTGGAATTCATGCCCTCAAAGAATGTCCTAATGCAGTTATAAGCAATTCTGTGTGTAACATAATACAATTAAAATACATATTTAGTCACCAAGTGGAATGTCAAATTGTGCTGTCGTGAGATACCAGGGATTCTCCTTTCTTTCTTTTTCATAGTAGATAGGGCCACTCCACTACCCATTATTCTTTTTTTTCAGCTGACCCAAAACAGGATCTGCTTTGGCAGAATGAGTGGTGAGGGATAAGGTACAAGCAGTTCTAATGTCTGCCCATCTTAGCCATTCCTCATCTACTGCTTCCTGGTCTCATCAGGTTGAACTCTAAAAGAAGTGTCCCTAGTTCAGCATAGCCCCAACTAGACTTCTATGACTTTTTGCCTAAGACATGGTCTATACCTCTAACTTTGAGGGTACTCTTAGTAAAGTTACCTTAAACTATCAATCTTGAATTGTCTTTCCAAGGACTGACCGGAATATCTGCAACCTTGTCTTTCATTTGGGTTTCAAAGATTAAAAAAAAAGGAAAATGGGAGTGAGGTGTAGGGGATTCATAGGAGCCTTTTTTGCCCTGTGTGTTCTTTCTTCAGGAATTGTAGAGAAGACAGTGTCACTGTTTTGTCCTTGCCATTGTTCCAGGGATGAAATAGTTTTCCAAATGAAAGCAATGAAAGAGTGAGATGCTTTTCAGAAGTTTTAAGTTGATTTCAACTTAAATAAGTTTTGAAAAAACCTCTACATTTATTTATCCTCTTTGTAGTGAATGTTCTCTGCCAGCACAGTGGTACATTGCTTACCTGGTAGAAGTTGCCCTTGGGGCATTGTAACCATAAGACTATGGGTCTGATAAGTCATTCAACTGGAGCCTTGAAAAAATCTAGTTTTGGGGGTAGAGGTAGGGGGTAGTATATTATTTTATAAAATAGGAATTCCTGATCTTAGGGTGTTCTCTTTTTAAAGCTAGCTTTGAATAATCATTTCTTTAATGTTCTTTTGTGAAAGTAAAAAGTAATTTAAAATTGATGAGATTTTAAAACTCATAAGCTTGTATGTGTGTATGTTATATTGAAAAAGGTAGATCTTTGATTAAATGTTCTCTCCAGGGTATTGTTAAGTGCAAGTTTAGAGTAAGCTTCCTTTCAGTGGTGGCTTCAGTTGATAATTTTTAGTCTCTTGCTAGATAGGTAGTTTTATGTTTTATGTATTTTCTAGGGAATAGTGGTATTATAAAATAATGATAGTTGTTACTGTACAAATGGTTCAGATATTGCCAAATTTGTGGATTTATTAAGAACTTTAAATATGTACTACTTCCCTTGCTTGCTTATATGGCTGAGAAAAAATTAAAACCTCTTCTTAAATAATTTTTGGAAATTTTGCTCGCGGAAAGACTTTTGACACGTACCTTCTTTCTTGGGTCTTGCTTTTTGTACCTTAGGCGTGTATACAATGTATTTTTCAAAATTAATAACAATAAAAAATACCAGGGATTAATGTATAAGGAAGACTTTAGCACTGAATTACATGAAGGTTGAATAAGTGACAGAATAACTAAGGCCAAGTTAGGTCTAATGAGAATTACCTATTTAGAGGAAATAGCTTTAGTTGGATTTACTTAATAGACTAAAAAGAGTAATGACCACTGCTATGATAAATGTTTAGATTTTTAGTTACAAAAGTTGTTAAAGCATAAGCATATCCTTAAGCCAGAAAGTTTCTTAAAATTTTGTAATGTTGAAAAGAATAGAAAATTAAGTTGAAGCTTATCTTATACAAGCAGGATACATATAGAGCAGTGGTCTTCAAACTTTTGGATTTCAGGGAACAGTAAAGTTTAGGAATTTAAAAATTTGTGTGTTTGTCATAGAGGTATCAACTTTTTATTTTGCCAGGGAAGAATACTTTAAAAATACAAAAAGATTGTCATGTTCTATCACCATTGTTATATAAAATAAAGGAAATTTTAACACTGAAAATGTAGGAGAACATGAACTCGCAGTAAAGGATAGGCCTTCCCAAGAAAAAACTGTCAGCCCTTGCCAATGTTTACTGTCAAACATTACATTGTTCTTGTTTTCTGGACCATTATCCTAGATGACTGAATGAATTTATTTTCTATAATCAATAGATGCATAGTATTTCAAGATGAAAGTACAAGAATAAATAAGGTAATTGAGACATTCAGATATAACTGAAAAGTGAGAAGTTTTCCTCAGGAAAAATATTGAAGCATTTTAAAGACCATCAGTATAAGCAGAACACTGTTAGCTTTAGGTTAAGATGGTTTATGGTTTGACTCTGCCTTGTTACCTAGAAGATGGTTCCTATTACCTTATTTTCTATTTTTTTGTCTATCACCATGCCAAAGTACTAAAGTTGGATAAGTACTCAGACAAGAGTAAAGCAGTCGTCTCTTCCATGACTGATTTGAATATTATCTTTTCTGCACTGAATTGTTACTGTACCTTTGTAGGAGCCCAAGATCCTGTTCAGAATAGGAATAATTAAGTTGCTGTTTTAGAAGAATCAGAACAAAAATGAAACCTATAGTCCCAAACTCACAGAGGTACAATTTTTTTTTTTTTTTGAGGCGGAGTCTCGCTGTGTTGCCCAGGCTGGAGTGCAGTGGTGTGATCTCAGCTCACTGCAAGCTCCGCCTCTCTTGGCTTCATGCCATTCTCCTGCCTCAGCCTCCCGAGTAGCTGGGACTAGAGGTGCCTGCCACCACGCCCAGTTAATTTTTTTTTTTTTTTTTTTTGTATTTTTAGTAGAGACAGGGTTTCACCATGTTAGCCAGGATGGTCTCGATCTCCTGACCTCGTGATCCACCTGCCTCAGCATCCCAAAGTGCTGGGGTTACAGGCATGAGCCACTGTGCCTGGCTGCGAGGTACAATTTTTTATATCAAAAGGAAAGAGGGGCCAGGCGCAGTGGCTCACACCTGTAATCCCACCACTTTGGGAGGCCAAGTGGGGTGGATCTCTTGAGTCCAGGAGTTCGAGACCAGCCTGGGCAACATGGAGAAACCCCATCTCTACCAAAAAATCAGCCAGGTGTGGTGGCGTGCACCTGCAGTCCCAGCTGTTTGCGAGGCTAAGGTGGGAGGATCACCTGAGCCCAGGAGGCAGAGGTTGCAGCGAGCTGAGATCATGCCACTGTGCTTCAGCCTGGGCGACAGAGCCAGACCCTATCTTAGCAAAAAATAGGGGGAAAGAGAATCATGTTTTACTAAATGGATTCAACCAAAAGAAGTCAAATTATGTGCATAGCAGAGTGTGTGTGTGTATGTGTGTGTGTTTTTACTGATACTTAATAGTTATTAAGTGCTGCTATGTGATGGGCACTGTGCTACCAGAATTAGTAACTTGAGGTCTGAAGCTTGTGGGAAAGTAGCCATGTGCATTGAACTCAAGAGTTAAAGAATTGGAAGTCTTTCTTTGTAACTTCTAAAAATTAGATTTTGCATGTTTTTAAAAATGTGTGGTCATATATATTATATAATTATATGTATTTGTGTTCATAACTCGTGCTTTAACATTCTATAACATTACAAATATTACTAAACTTGCTTTTAGCCTTCTTTTATATATTAGTTATATTATCGTTACTAAAAACGTAAGGAACCATAGGATTGCAGTTTACTTTTCGGTAATTATCTGTATTTCAAGTCAGTTTTCTCTGTAGTTTTTGCAAAACACTGTTTCTGCAAGAGATCCCCTAACAAAAGATTCTCTTGTCAGATAAGTTTGTGAAAGGCTGCATTTTTATATTCCATTTAGAACTGTAGTCTAAATGGACTAAGTCCAGAGGTAAACAAACCTGTTTAATTTTGTTTCACCCAACATTTTTCCAAACTTAATTGTTTCCAGAACATTTTCCACGTAAGATGTGGAATCCACAATTACTTTTCATAGTTTTTTCCTCCTTTGTTAGATCTTTAACCTTTGTGCTTTCTGTTATGTATATGCCATTCCTTAATTTGCTGTAAGCTTTGAATGAATGTGTGTAAGAATAAATAGTCAAAAGACTAGAGACAAGCCTCTGAATAAACTATTTCAGCTTTAAAACTCAAATTTTGTGTACATTTTATAGTATAGAAATTAGAATTATAAAATGTATTCACATATGCACATCATTGAGCTTCAACAGTTATCGACTTAGGGCCAATCTTATTTCATCTATATTTCACTCGCTACAACTTGCCCACTCCTTATTTTGGAGCTATTCACAGTCACTGTATCATTTCATCTGTAAACATTTTAGATGATAGAACCTTAAATGATGGAACCAGTTTCTAGAGGTTTGATTCCTTCCTTTTTCATTTAGGTTTTAACGTAGGTTGGCTCTTCGAATGATAGAGCCTTAAAAAAATACAGTACTACTATCACACCTAAAAATTATATTCCTAAATATCAAATATCCAGTCAGGGTTGACATTTGTCTAATTTCTTGTAAATTTACTTTTTAAAAATAAGGATCTAGATAAGGTTCATATTTTGATATAGCTTGATTGGTGTTATGCAGTCATAAATTCATATATAAACATTTTATGGGTACAAATCCATTGCTCTCAGTTATTAATGTTGAAGTTATTCCATCTTTGGCCAGGAGACTACAGGTTGGCTCCTGAGTGCTTTTGACAGGATCCTAGTGGTTCTGTTCCTTCTGGTATGAGAAGGTGTTCTAGGTTCATTTTAAACACTGTCTCTTCCAGACCTGGAATTGACCCTTTCTCTAAGGAGCTTTGGTTTATTTATTAGGCAAAGATATTTAGACACTACAGTTTGGGTACTAGGGGTACGCATTACTATTAAGTATGTTACCATCACTAATCCTTTTCAGTTGTCAGAACTGGGAGTGAAAAAAAAACATACATATATATATATGTATATGCACATATATACACATGTATAAAGAAATTTAGAGCTCATACTGATACTTTGCATTTAATTTGGGGCTATAAAGTTTTTAATACATACACATATATACACACATACAAGTAGATAGGTAAAGATAAATTCAGAATTCACTCTGATACTTGTTAATTCTAGACTCTATGGTTTTTACTTAATCTCATGGGTCTTAATGTCTCTACATTTTTCCACCTTTCTCACTGACACCAACATGTGGGTGAACGGATATGTACGTTTAAATTTTTAATGAAAATTGCCCACCATAAAGGTTATACTTATTTGCCCACCAAAGATGTATGAGAATGCTTTTTCCCTACACTCTTGCCATAGTGTGTACGCTACATAGTGGTTTTACTACTTTTCTTATTAAAAAAAAAAATCCATAGGTATGTAGTTTGTCCTCATTTTTATCGGAGTGGGGTATCAGTTTTATCTTCAGTTTATCAAACTGAAATAGAAACTCATTTAGGTTTTAATTCACTTTTCTGATTGTAGTTGAGCCATTTTCATGTTTAATTAAATGCTGTCTGTTTTTATTGTTTGTTTTTATGTCTATCAACTGTTAATGTCATTTGCCCATTCTATTATTTTGCTGAGTAGTCTTTTTTTTTTTTTTTTTTTTTTTTACTTAATGCAGGGGCTCTTTGTATATTTGGAAATTAGCTCATAGCTTATATTTTTATGAATTTTCATTTATGCTGTATTTTCCACAATAATAGTTAATTGTCCAGTTAATCTTTTTTTATAGTTTGAAAGGCTTTCACCAATCTGAGATAAGAAACATTTTCCCTTGTTTTTTCTAATACTCTTAATATTAATAGGCTTTTTTTTTTCTTTGAAGACTTCACATTCATTTTTTTAAAAATTTACGTGGAACTTATTTGGTCTAAGGAGTGAAATAGGAAGCCTGTTGGGTTCATTAGTTAAATCTAGTTTTTCCAGGCTTATGTGAAATATATAAATTTCTGATATGTTTATTTGGGTGTGTTCCAGACTCTTCCATTGATGAGTTCTCTCTTCATGTGCCTGTTTCTCACTGTTTTAATTAAACTAGCTTTCTAAACTCAGTAGTTTGTCAGGGCAGTTTGGATTCCCTCTCACACCCAATTATTACTCACTTTCAGAATCTTGCTGGTATGTTTTAGGTGTTTATTTTCGATGTAAACTTTTGAATAAACTTAGTTTCAAAAAGATAGACTAAGTTATGGGAGAATGAACATAATAATACTAAATTTTCCTCAAATGCTAAGTCTTCCTCTAAAACCTCATTGTCTTTCAAGTTCTTCAGTACTTTTTACATTGTAAGAGCATTTTAATTTTTTTTAACATAGCCAGTATATATTACTAGTGTTAAGGTTTTCTTTTTTAAAAATTAATTTAATTTTTAGATTCAGGGAGTACACATGCACGTTTGTTAATGAGTATATTGCATACTGGTAGGGTTTGGGGTTCTAGTATACCCATTACCCAAATAGTGAACATTGTACCCATTAGGTAATTTTTCAACCCTCATCTGTCTCCCACCCTTCCTGCTTATGGTTTCTTTATATAGACAACATACATTGCTTATAAATTTCCCCATAATAATTCATCTTTTTATTGCTATTTTAAATGAGATCTTTTGTTCCATAATATTTTCTATTGGTTCTTCATATGTAGGAAGACTGTTCATCTTTTTTTATTAAATGTGTAACTGCCATCTTATCAAACTATTTGATGGTTTTAATTTTGCTCTCTTGGGTTTTTTGGGTTTTCATTCAATTTATCTTTGGTTAAACATAGTTTTACCTCTCACATTTCTACACTTATACTACTTTCTGTTATTTCATCGTTTACCTTTAGAAAAATGTTAAAAACATCGATAATAATAGTGACTGACTTTTTTGCAGAATGAAAATGCTTCTAGTATTTTCAGTATTATGTGTGATGCTGGCTTTTTGTCTTAAGGTAGAATACAAATGACTCTGTTTCATTAAGATTTTTGATCAGAAATGGATTTTTTTTTTTTTTTTTTGAGACAGGTTCTCATTCTGTCACCCAGGCTAGAGTGCAGTGGTCTGATCACAGCTCACTGCAGCCTTGACTTCCTGAGCTCAGGTGATCCTCCCACCTCAGTCTCCCAAGTAGCTGGGACTATAGGCACACGCCGCCACAGTTGGCTAATTTTTGTATTTTTTGTAGAGATGGGGTCTCACCATGTTGTCCAGGCTGGTCTTGAACTCCTGAGCTCAACCAATCTGCCTGTCTCAGCCTCACAAAGTGCTAGAATTACAGGTTTCTGTCACTACGCCCAGGCTAGAAATGGATTTTTATAATGCTTTTTGATGTTTGTATAACAATGACTTTTTTTTTTTCTTTTTCACCTTATTTCATTGCACTGCTTCTAATCATTCTCTTCTGGTTTAAATCCCATAGTACTGTATTTTTAAAAATCACTAAAGTCTCTTCTTTTTCTTTCTATTTCTCTTTTTACTTTTTAAAATGATTTTCAAAAGTAAGATTGGTTTGTAAATTTTGGGAGGGATATTTTTGTCAGGTATCTCTATTACCTGTCATTGGAAAGTTTCCATTATTCTTTGCTTTCTGAGATAATTTAAGTTGCTTTGGAAATATGTTTTTTAAAATTTTAATAGAATTCATTTGTGAAACTATCAGTATCTAATGATTAAATGTGTCTTTTTACAGGCTGTTTTGTAGAAATGATTTGTTTAAGTTTATCTTTGCTGGCTTTAGTTTGGTACTTTGGTAGTTTTTTCAAAAATTATCTTTTTAATCTAGATTATCAGCTACATTTGCATTGGGAAGCAAATTTTATCTTCATCTGATACTATTTCCCCCCCTTTCATATTTTGTGGATTTTTACATTTAGGTCCACTTTCACCTTTTTGACCACTACGTCCTAGCCCAAGTAGGCATCCTGTAGAGCACATTTAAACATGGTGTTCCTTAACATTTTATAAATGGCTATACAGTTCACTTTTAAAAATATATTTTAATGGAATTTTAAAGTACATGCATAACTCTTGAAGCACTGCCATAGCATACTTTAAAAAGTTATTTGCATTAATTATTCGTACTGTTTAAAAGCAGTACAAAGCAGATAATGTAGTACAATACAGTTCAGAAATAGACCTAAGTTTATACAATCATGTGCCACTTAAGAGGGATATGACCTGAAAAATGTGTTGTTAGACAATTTCATTGTTGTGTACACATCACAGAGTGTATTTACACAAACATAAATGATATAACCTACTACACACCTACACTCTATGGTATATAGCCCGTTGGTCTTAGGCTACGAAACTCTGGCATTGTGTTAACTATACTGAATACTGAGGCACTTGTAACACAATGGTAAGTATTTGTGTAGGCAAACATATCTAAACATAGAAAAGGTACAGTAAAAATAGGGTATAAAAGATAAAACATGGTATACCTGTATGGGGTACCTACCATGAATGGCATTTGCAGGACTGGAAATTGCTCTGGGTGAGTTAGTGAGTGAATGTAAAGGCCTAGAACATTACCATCGTATTTTATAAACTCGTACTTTAGACCTTATAAACACTGTACACTTAGGCTATACTAAGTTTATAAGAACATTTTATCTTTCTTTAATAATAAATTAACCTTAGTTTGCTCTAGCTTTTACTTTTAAACTTTACAATTTTTAAAAACTTTTTGACTCTTGTAACGCCACTTAGCATAAAACAGACACGTTGCACAGCTGTACAAAAATACTTTCTTTATATCCTTATTCAATAAGCTTTTGTCTATTTTTAACATTTTTTTATGTTTTACTTTTTAAACTTTTAATTAAAAACTAAGACACAAACACATACATTAGTCTATGTCTAAACATGGTCAGAATCATCAGTATCACCGTTTTCTACCTTTACGTCTTGTCCCACTGGAAAGTCTTGAGGGGCAGTAACACACACACAGCTGTCATAGGCAATGTGTGTATTATAGGCTGAGGCCTACGATAACAGTTCCTTCTTCTGAAATACCTCCTGAGGAAACTGCCTGAGGCTGTTTTATAATTAACTTAAAAAAAATTAGAGTACACTCTAAAATAATGATAAAGAGTATAGTATAGTAAATATGTAAACTAGTAACAGTCGTTTGCCACCATATTCAAGTATTATGCTGTACAT